>NC_000006.12:123252608-123555638 GCF_000001405.40 Homo sapiens | reverse complement strand
TACTATTTTGGTTACAACAAAAGTGGCTTATCAGATGCCAAAATATCAAGTGTTGCTTCTGGAACTGAAGCAATATATACAAATATAGCCATCCTTCCTGCATTTTTCAAGAAAAAATAATAAGAAAATATGTAATTCCAGTACTATACATTTAGAAACGTCCACTGGCAGGATATAAACTCATCTTAGGGGTTAAATACAGAGGAATAAAGGTGTTGCAATAAACATTTTTTGAATGCTTGACTTCCTTGGATGTTTTACTTATGTCTCTAATTTTGTCTTTACTTTCAATTTGAAATAAAACAGAAAATAAGAACGCAATAAATTCATGGGAGAAAAAAAGGCATTTGGCTCTAAGAGGTTGAAATCTCTTCCACCGTGATGACAAAATTAAAAACGGCAGTTCTAACATCAGTGAAGTCAACCAAACATACCCAGGACAAGTGGCCCAACTTATGAGAAACTGTTTGGACTTAAAAAGCTTTAAAGTATAATGTCTTCAGTAAACATCAGGTCAATGAAGACACCAAATTTCACTGTGAATGTATAAGCACATATTTTTGTTTATTCGTAAACACCTGTGCCTAGTATTGTTGATGCTGAAAACTCCAGGACCCAAAGTCTCAGAAGACTATTAAATTCACTGTGCAAGCTTCTTGTTTCCAATGGATTCTGCTTAGAAATAAATTAAATTAGCATTTCTACCCTATAACCTTAAGAAATATTTGACTATTAACAAATAATGCCAGACCTTGAGCCCAAACTGTTTCATAAGTCTTTGTATTCTCTCAGCTACATTTCTGAGTCTAAGAAACCTATTGACTTAGTGGAAAGAGCATTGTTTTATGCATATACTGACCCACCACTTCAGATTTTAAAAACATTTTTGTTTTGTTTTTCCTATCTGTTTTTTCTTTCTTCCCAACTTAGGCGGTGGGATGGGAATGAGGAAACACATCTGAAGTTTCATTTGGCATTGGGAAAGTTCTAAAGAAATTTGTTTACCTTCAAGACAAAGACTAAGTAATTTCACAGTAATTTAAGCAAAAATTGACATGTAACTCAGGGCATATTAAATGACACATAATTTGCTAAAATTTTTCTTAACTTGATAAAATTTTCACCAACAGAAGCAAAAATATTCATATACATATTTACAGAAAGGGAGAAAAACTGGTCACTTAAAATTATTTCTTTAGGTCTAGAAAATTATCTCTATGTATTTTGAAATAACTTTCCTCACATACCAAAATTAGAACCACCTAGATATCAATTATATATTACACTTAGAATATTGTACATAATCAGTGCTCAATAATTGTTGTAAAAGAGAAATCTCTGCTTTGCTTAGCCAAGCTCATATTGAGTACTACCATACAGAAGGTACATACAGCAACATATACCAAGTTTAATTGTTCCTGGTTTGGGTAGCATTCATGACATTAAAAAAAAACCTTTACCTCAATTTAGTTCCAAATATTTGGATCTGAATATTTTCTGGGAGGTCAGGGGCAAACATTAGTTGTTTCATGAGTTCCAATGAAAACAGTCTTTGGATTTCATGGACCTTACCAAGGTTCGCTATGAGGGCGTGGTGACTAAGTGATCTCATGCTAATATTTATAGCAGCCTGCATTTATGGAGCATTGTATGTTTGAGGTAAATGGTCATGAAAATTAAACTGATAATTATCTAACATTTATTAAACCATATTATCTGCCCTCTATGCTGATATGGTTTGATAGTGTCCCCACCCAAATATCATCTTGAATTAGAGCTCCCATGATTCCCACATGTTGTGGGAGGGCCCCAGTGGGAGATAATTGAATCAATGGGGACAGTTTCTCGCATACTGTTCTTGTGGTAGTGAATAAGTCTCCTGAGATCTGATGGTTTTATAAGGGGTTTCCCTTTTCACTTGGCTCTCATTTTCTTTTGCTGGCCACCATGTAAGACATGCCTTTCACCTTCCATCATGATTGTGAGGCTTCTTCAGCAAAGTGGAACTGTGAATCCATTATACCTCTTTTTCTTTATAAATTACCCAGTCTCAGGTGTGTCTTTATCAGCAGTATGGAAACGGACTAATACACATGCTTTACACCAAAAAGTTTACGTACACTGTGCTTGAGTGAACACCAGTAAGTGTCGTCTGGTGCAGGCAGAGTCATGGGCAGAAGGGCAGAAGATTCCTGGGACCCCTGTTTTCTTGCCTTCCTGTGGAGTGGATCAGACAGATGCAGATGGGCAAATCTAGAGACTCCACCTCTTAGTTGTTCTTTCCTTGGAAGGAAAGCATAAGGGTAGCATTAAGGTTGGGGTTAATCATTTGGGTTTGAGCGCTATGCAGTCAGAGTTTAGGTGCTAAGTGCATCAGGGAATGCTGGAAACACCAGTTGTGTAGCACTTGAAGAGTTTGGGAGAAACTGAGATCATACACAGGCCTCCTGTTGAGGGGAGGGGAAGCTATTAGTTCTGGCTAGCAAGCTGAAAAGAACATTTTGGTCATTCAACAGACAATCTTGCTTATTTCTTCACGTTGATGTTTACTAATTAGCAGGCATCGTACCATTTGATTTGTCTATATTATCTCATGTATTACGCATAAGATCCTTATGCAGTCTTATTGTCATTTTATGGTTCAGCAAATGGAAGCACAGAGTACTTTATCCTTTTTCCCACTAACTGAATATGTTCTAAATTGGAGTACAGAGAGTTTGAATAGAGGAATAACAGGCACTGGAAAGTTGAGGTCTTGATTTGGAATAGTGACTTTGGGAAAGCAAGGCATTGATAAATTTTATAGACATGGCAAAAGTTAATCTTCTCAATATCATAGAGCTAATAGGTTGGGGAAGTACCAGGACTAGAGAAAAGTGAGTTAAGTACCATGGGTGCAAAATTGGAGTCCTCCAAAACACTCAAAAATTGAAACAAATAATATTTTCAGGCAGAGTTTAAATTTTCAAAATTAATGCAAAAATATATGATGAAGAAAATATCAACATTTTAAACAAAGGCAGAATGATTATTACTGTTTCTCCTTTTGTTTCAATATAGTTGGCACAGCGCTGGGTAGGAAGCTTGAACTTGAATGCTATCAGTCTGAACTCAGAACCCAAGCTTGTAACCATTGTGTGCCAATGTTTCTCAGGATATGAAAAATAAAGAAGGGTCAAATATTACCTACACACTCTAAGACTGATGGCCAAAGATAACAGTGAAACTATGGTCTTGATTTTTTAGAAGGGAAGCAGAGAAAATGATTATTTTTCTTGTATAGTCCCATTTAGAAACTTAAGTACACGCATAGTTTAGCTTCAAAACCAGAGGACAAATAAAAATCTTACTTAAACTTTTCTTGGCCTCTCTTGTCTCTCTTGGCACTCTTTCATCAGTGCCAAGAATCCAATTACTGACCACAAGTAACCTAAAGCAGTTTTCCCGGCATTCAGTGGTATATTTTTCTGGAAGAAACCTTGGATACAATTAAGAATGACTTGAACACTGAGAAACATTTCTTATCTCATATAACAGAAGTGCTGAAGGTAGAGTGATTTCAACATTGGATACTTCAAGGCCTTAGCAATGTCATCGTGGACTCATTTTTTTTTCCAGTTTTAATCCTTGCCTTTCTCAGAGAGCCAGCTACTGTTCTCATGGTTACAAGATGACTGAAGCAGCTGCAAGCTTTTTTATTCCCATGCAGTAAAGTCTTTGTTCTTCCTTTTAAGAGCAAGAAAACCCCTTCTAAAATCTCCCCACCCAAAACGAGACCTTAGAATCAATTGTGAATTTATGTTTTTTGTTTGACAGCATATAGCACAATAGTTAAGAATCTTGTTTTGATGGCCTAAAATGGGTGTAAAACGTGGCTCCATCACTTACTATGTAACCTGAGGCATCTTATTTAAATTATCTGTGCCTTAGTTTTCCTATGTTTTTAAAAAAGGTATAAAATAATATACCTATGTCATTGGGTTATTGAGAAGAAAATGTGAATTAATACCTGTAAAGTTTTTATAATGGTGTCTGACTGTTATTTTTAAGATGATTCTCACAGTCATGTATATAATTAAACTTAGGGAAACATGAAAGCTAAGAAAATACAATTACCTAAGTATCTTCTTAAAAAAAGACATCAATAAAAGTTTTAGTTTGCGTTGAATAATATTTTTTCCATTGATATGATCTGGATTTGGATGTGAGGTCTGAAAGACAGAATAAGAATCAACTTCAGGACTACTGTCTTATTTAAGTGTGTGTGTGTGTGTGTGTGTGTGTGTGTGTGTGTGTATTTAGGTTTTGGAAGAAGTGGTCCACATGGCTGAAAATCAGAAAATCAGAAGCTGATCTCAAGCTAGCAATGATAACTTCATAAAAATAGCCTGCTTTGGCAATTTTAGAACCAGGCAATATATATATATATATATATCTGCAAAATACATACAGTGCATTTAAGCATAAGGATAATTAAACTGATCCCAATTTTGTTGGATTTTATTGTTAAGCTCTTCAGTTAACACTTAGAAAGAAGGGAAATGGAGAAATAGTCTCAATCTATTCTCATCATAAAAATCTCATTTGCAGATTTTTCCATTAGGTATAAAATATACCACTGCTAAAAATGCCTTTAATGGTGCCAGAACAATCCAGTTCCTTACATATGATTCTTTTAAAATCCTCAATTGCAATTATAAAATTCCATTTCATTTCCTTTGTCTAAGGTTTAATCTCACCATTCAAACGGCCATTTCTTGCTCACATGAAACTCTCTGGAGTGTAGTAAAATGGGGTGCAAAGAGTGAAAGTACATTATCAATGAATCATGGAGACAGGCTTCCCAGAAAGCAGCATTTTATTCCTGGGGTCACTGAATGGTCTGTGTGCTCCACGAATCCCTCAGAATGGAATATAAAATTAAAAATTTCCCCAGAAATCCTCTCGTTCATATAATTTTTCCGCTCTCTATGAGATCTTCCCATCAGTATAAACCATGGGATATTCTTCCTATTTGAACAATGGTAAAAACAGAAAAACTCACTATGATCCTAGTTCCTCTTCTAGTATTACTCAATCTCTGTCATATGCATAAAAATATACTCACTGCCTCCAAATTTTTCTATTTTGTCTTGAATGCACTCCACTGAAATTGCTCTTTGAAGGTCATGAGTGACATCCTCGTCATCCAATCCAAAGGTCCATTCTCAGTCTTCAACTTTCTTGACCTATCCATAGCATTTTCCAGTTGATCACTCTGTCCTCCTCAAAAACAATGTATTAACCTGATATCTGGTGCATTACACTTTCTTGGTTCCTTCTCCCTCTCTCTTTCTTGCTCACTCCTGCTCTGCCTGTCACTCTCTCTGTCATCTCCCCTCTGAATCCATTGTTGGCTCCTCCCTATCTCTCTGACTTATCTCCCTGACATTTGTTAAAGTGTCTCTGGGTCAACTTCCTTGGTGATCTCACTCATTGTTATGGCTTTGATACCTTCTGTCTTCCGTTGGATTCTGAAGTTTCTGTTTTCAGTTAGAGCTTCTCTTTTGTAAATCATGTTGCATTACACAAATGTCTACATCTTGATGTAAGTATCTAATAGGCAACCCAAATTTTGAAAGTCTAAAACTCAGCTACTTTTCTACTCCCAACCCCACCCACACCCAGCAAGAATCTTGTTTCTCTCCAGTCCTCCCCCAGCTCAGAGCATTTCCTTCCTTCATTCTAGTTTCTCACACCAAAAACTTAGAAGTTATCCTGGAATTCTGTCTTTCTCTCACATCACAGCCACACTGGAAGCTTCTACTATTAATTCTGTCATTGAAATACATTCAGAATCTGATTGCATCTCACCACACACACTGTTACCACCCTGATAGAAATCATGATCATCTTTCTCTTGGATGATTTCAGTTGGCTTCATACTCATCTCCCTGTTCCCAGCCTGGCACCCTTTCAAACTTCAACACAGTAAAGGAAGTCAAATCACTTCATCTTTCTGCTCAAATCTTCCAATGACTTACTATGTTAGTCACAGTAAAAGCCTAATTAGATGTACTTAACCTTTAGGTAGTATAATACATTGATATAATTCTCATCTCTTAAATATATCAAAGAGAGAAAAATCTCTGAAAAGCTAAAATAGTTTTTAAAATTAAGGAAAACACAGCTCTAAAATTTAATTACAGCTTGATAAAAAATCAGATGCAATTTATACCATATTTCTAGATAGATCACCTCTGTAATCACATCCTAAAGGCTATGCTTGCCTCTTCAGAGCAGTTTTCATATGATTGGAAGAATAAAATTTTGGAAATCCCTAATATATTTGTTTGCATTTTTTTATGATTCAATCTTTCATTTAGCAAACATTTTATATCTCCTAGGACATAGAAAAGGGAAGACTTATAGATTCTATCCATTGAAGTTACTAGCAGTTCAAATACTTTTTTATTTCATGTACAGGGATGACTAAGATAAATCCAACCTATTCCAACTAGAGCTTGATATGATCACTAACTTGACTATTCCAGATTCTTCCTGTGGTATCACAAATTAGAATAAATGGGCCTATCAGTCTTAATTTAGCCACAACTACCTTAGTCAACTTGCAGAACTTGTTATTTGTCTGAAAACTTACAGAGTCATCTTTTCTATAATGCTGTCCCATACAATATGTGCTGAAATTATTTCTTCCATTCCTGAACATCCATAACATAGGGTTTATTTGCACTCTGGGTAACATAAATACACATTATTTTAATTCATTCCTAATTTTTTTTCCAGTGCTAACTCTTATTTGGATTATAAACTTCCCAAGGGCATTTTCTTTCTTGGCATGCATGCATATTATAGCAAGATGAAGTTTCTATTTCTGCGCAAAAAATTGTAGCCAGGAGATATTTAGAATGTTGAAATTGACATATTCTTTTTGTCAAAACAACAAATCAGTAAAAACAGCTTTTCTTAAGTTATTTGGAAATGATCACAAACTTTTTCTTTTTTTTTTTTTTTAATTACTTTTAGCAAGCTCTATTGCCAAGATTGGCTCAGATCCTTTAAAACTGGTACGTGATGCTATGGAGGAAACCACGGACTGGATCTATGGCTTCTTTTCTTTGTTATCTGACATCATCTCATCTGAAGATGAAGAAGATGATGATGGTGACGAAGATACTGATAAAGGTACAAAGAACATAGAGATATATCTAACTGCTAGGAGCAACATTAAATATGTATTATAGTGGCTTGCCTCAGTTTAAATTCAAATGAGCACTTGGGTCAAGCTAAACCAAAATGAATACACTTCTGACTGCTAAAAGCATATCAACAGGCTGCCAAACACAGTAAATTGTTCTTTATTTAATTTTCATCTTATAGCTTATCTACCATTATGGCAAAGATGTCAAAATTAAATGTTAATATTAATGTAGCATTACAGCAAAGGGAGTCTCATTATGCTCTGCTATAAAACCACAATACAAACTCACATTTATATGCTTCTTTGGAAAAAATAGTTATTTTTCAAGTTTATCTCTAGGAAGATTAAAATAAAAACAGTAAAACTAAAAATACATATAAGTGTTTTATACACATATGTCATATTTATAGTCAAATAGCAGAAAGCAATCTTACTAAAAGTACAATCAAAAGAGTAAATTTATTGGACCAAATGGTGGTGTAGAATAGAAGGACACATTCTAAATGTCCTAACAATTATGCAACTAACCTATGTGCTCTCTCATATATATTAATGAATAAAAGGAAATAGCCATCTCAAACCACATAAAAGCTGCCATTGAATGAGTATGAAAAGAACAAAGCACTGTGATTCCATCTATTAGATAACACTTTTTAGGGTCAGTCTTAGTCATCAGAAATCATGTATTCAGCCTTGACTACCAGGAAAGCTTTTATTATTAGAGTATTTTTATAACTTTTCCTGAAATTATATTTGTTTTGGCCCCAGTAAGAGTTCAACATGAACAATAGAGAGTTGAAATTAATATGATATATAACCTATAATGTATAATTTGGATCACTGCCACAATTTTATTGAATTCATAAAAATGAAACAATCTTATATAAATGTATATAAACAAACTTTATACTTAAAAACTGGAATTTGGGAAGCAAAGTAATGTAAAGACTATGATTGTTAAAACTAATAGATTTTTTTAAATAAACAAAAGGGGAAAATAATGATGTCATATTATTCTATGCTAAAATATTTTCTAACTTTGTTTTTCTTTTAATCTTGGTCTAGGAGAAATAGATGAGCCTCCCTTGAGAAAAAAAGGTTAGTTGTTTTCACCTTTGATAATAATTATTTTTCTCTTATGGTAATATTGGTTTTCAGCATGGTTCAAATATATTTTACTTATTTTAATATAAAGGTTTTGTTTAATAATTAGGTCAAGATTTATAGTCAGAAAAAAAATACTCAATTTCTTTTCCAATGAAGGTGATCTCACTACTTTTCTGTTGATTATTTTTTAAATGCCTTATTCAGTAGATTTGTATGGATTCATTTATACACAGACCAATATGAGCTGGAATTTGAGGAATGAGGGGAGAATTCTGTAGCCTTAGAAATGGCCCAGAAAATGACACCCATGATTTATTCTCACCATGGTCAGATTTATTGATTTTAAATGTTTATTCTTATTCTTTTCCTTTTATTTTTTTTGCCATCATTATTTTGCATGTTAGGTGATGACTATGGGCCAGGACAACAAGACGGTGAGGGACATAACAGCCTAGGAGGCAAAGGCATATCCAGTTGGTATGTGTGATGTGTCACTGTCATGGAGTGGAGTTACCTGGATGTGCCTGGATGTGCTGTAGAGGAATTACTTGCAGGAATAGATAAGGTGACTGAGTGAAGTGGTCACAACCTGAATGATAAGAACGATAAACCTAGGACAAAGGAGGACAGCAATGGGGCAGGAATTTCAGAAGACAGAGATTTTGACAGGAAGGGGTAGGAACTGCATCTGGAAGGGGCACTGGGGAGCAGGTAGTACCATCTTGAGGTACATTTGTTGTGAGAAAACAGCCAACATTCAAGCCAGACTTAAAACAATTGCAGTGTTTTAGTTACTGCTACACATGGGCAGGCTGTTGAGGGTTTACCCAGGAAGATAACCCTGGCTTCTGTTGCTCTCTCCTAATACCTACTGTGGATTCAAACAATGGGATCCAAACTTACAGTTTCAGCCTTCCCTGAGAAAATGATGACTACCCCACACTATCTGGGGTAAAATCCACTTAGTGTATGTTAAATTAGAAACTTTGGATTTGTAACTTACACAGCAAAAAAGAGCTAAGCCAGTCAAACTCAACTATGGCAAAGGCATCCAGAAATGAAAGTGTTTATAAAGCTCTGTGAGGAGAAAGGAAGGGTTTATACACCTGCAAATCCAGAATGAGAACTCAAGTACTCAAGACAGACTTCAGCCATCAAATCCAGGTTTAGAGATTCTAGATTTGTCTATAAACTTCAAGAGATTTATAGCTGATTTCCCATAGAGAGTGAACATAGTCAAGCTTTAAGTGAGTTATTAGTCATTATCTGGAAATAACAGCTTATGCACGTTTATTTTCATTGGAAATGGAAGAAGGGAAAACAGATAAATAATGTTTGCTCATTTATACTTATAAACTGAATTCCATAAGACTATTATAAAGCCATGTTTTTCATAAATTGATATTTACTATTTAATAAAAAATCTTTTCTTTTGATTTAAATTTTTCTTTGAAATTATTTTAAAATTAAGCTTCATATAGTAATTAGTATAAACTGCAAATTCATACAAAGCTGTTTTACTATTGTTTCTTAAATTATTTCCTTGATTCAGCAAATCAAATTTTTGCCAGAAAAACTATTAAATAGTTGTTTAGGGTACTTTTAAAAAATGTTAGAAATGTTTATTAGTCAAAAATAGTCTAAGGGATATATGTCCTTCAACACATGTGCACTAATGTCCTTAAAGATTACATACTCAGAATTAGGAGAATTGACTTTAAATCACCTGAATATATTTTCTTAATAGTATTATTCACACAGTTACATGAAAAAAATTGACATTTAAGTAAAAATCTCAGATGCTCTATCTTGGGTACAGAGGCTATGTAATAATAAACCTTAGTTGAAAGTGAATTCAAGAAGATCTATTTCATTGTAATTATTATTTTTTATGTGTAAGCTTTTCTTTCATGGAAGTATAGAGGCAATGAGAGCTTTAAAGCAGTAGGTAATATTTTATAAAACATTTATAATACATATTCTACATTTTAAGTATACTTTTAACATTATTATTGGGGAGAAATTCTATAAATTATTCTTGTCTTATAAGTTATTTTACTCATGTTTACATTTACAAATGTTGGTTTAAGAAGGAATTTGGGGGCAATGTAGAATGATAGTCTTTTAAAACATTTGATTTTTACACATCTAAATGACTCTTCATTAATACCCTTCTCAATTCATATATATTCAATAATATTTAGTCATTTTTTATTGCCTAAATTATCAGGCTGTAGCATTTTTTTATTCAACTGCCCTATATCTACCTAAAACATTTTATTTGAATACACTTAGTTTTATTTGTTGAGTTACTGCTATTCTTAACAAAATAAAAATTCAGCCAGTTTGTTATTTATGGTTGAAGTTTGCAGTTTTTAATTTGGTATGGAATAATGGTGTAGTCGACTAATCTCAGGGTTGCAGTATTGATTATTAAACAGATTATTAATATGGATGAAATATTTGATTCTGCTAGCCTGTGGAATCTGTTGTTATATATAAATATAGCTTCAGGGTATTACATGTAGTACCTAGTGTCTTTATATTCTTCATGCATATTTTTCAACTTGTCAAAATTTTAAAATACTAAGTTCTATTACTAAACACTTCATGATGAGACCCCAAGGCACTGAATCTTTAGAAAATACTATATTTTATTACATAGTTGTCTAAAAATTATAAGTATGAAAACCAAATACTGTTATAAATCACATTTTCGGAAAAAATTATTTGTTGTGTATAGTGGTATACTTTGCACATCTGGAAGTGTGCTTTTAAGCAATATTTTTCACACCAGGGTATACATCATGGATCTGTTAGCACCTCACTTTCTAAGGGGTATAAAACTGCAGAGAGATTTAAAGGAATTGAATGTCATTTGAATGTTTTCCTAAAATTGATCTGCTTGAGAGCATGCCCGGTTTATAACCGTACTATTTCCACTTCAAATATAAATAAATCTGTTGTTGGTTCTTTGTGGTATTCAACGTTACTTGGAAGGAGACAAAAAAATTAAGTAACATTGCCCCAATAAGACTGTGTGTGTGTGTGTGTGTGTGTGTGTGTGTGTGTGTGTGTGTGTGTATGTACAGATGTGCATAAGGCTTCTCAATACTTGTATCTTTAAAAGTAAAATATAGGGTTAGATTTATTGATGAACGCTGTCTCATTCTAACTGTAAAATACATTAATCCACAGATAGGTGATTTTAAAGCTCCATTCATTCGATGGCATTCTAAAAAAAATTCATTTTTCAGGTTTAATAATAACTTATGAAGATTTGCAATATATTAACCTTTAGATTCTTAGATTCTTATAGTCTAAAGGTTAATATATTACAGGATGTGAAATCACAGAATATGGAGGAAATTTAAAATTTTCAATATGTACACTTTTTTCCTTAGAGAATCATAATGTAGCTCTTGGGTAAAATTTTCGTGAGAGAGGTGGAATGAAAATATGAATTCAAAGAGAAAAGAGAAAGATGAAAACCTTCCAAATGTTAAGAAATAATTTTTTGATAAATATTTTAAGTTGATAATGACATCTAAAAATATTATAGTGTTTGGAGTCCATCAACTCAGTTTTTAAAAGGGATATGGCAACTTTATTTTTAAATGTCAACATTTACAATAATCTATAAATTATATCACTTGTAATCCTTCAACTTATGATGAAAAATTTTAGAACTTGTAGGAAGGGATGCAGAGTTTTGCAAAATTTCTAAGAAATATAAAAGGGAAAAAATTGAGCATGATTGTAATAGAAAATAAACATTTTGCTTTCTGGGTAACTCCTAGGTTTCTGAGTGAGAGCAAAGCACAGAGGTCTAAGATTCACGACGGTACAATGTATATCCTTAGCTAATCACTAATACAGAATTCGGACATGTTTTATGCCTTCTGGGATTAAACTCAATCAACAAATGTATTTTTTTCAATTAATCTTTTTCAAGTGTTTTCTATGAGCCAAGCAATGAGCTGGTGGAAGAGAACATGTACTATTTGCTTACCACATTCCCAAAGACTAATGATGAACATTTATTAAATAAAATAGTAAATGACAGTAATGGAGTTTTGATGTGGTATTGCTAGCATCAGGATCAATGCAACATGTTATTTTATAGCTTACGTAATTGCAAAGGTGTAAAAGATCACCTTACTTAGTAAAATGTCCTGCAAATACCACAGTTAAAAATTTAATGAATACATGATCAAATAAGGCAGTAAATAAGCTAGAATAGTTGGGGCATTGTATATTTGATAAAGAAGAGGGTAAATCTTTATATGATGTTATTAATAAATTGAACTGAAAGCATATGAAAATGTGAATAATAGTAATGATATCTATTTTTTAGAAATATAAATTTTAATTCCCTTAATTATTCATAAAGACCCAAAGTTAAAGTTAAAACCAGGGCCAGACGCAGTGACAGACAGACAGACACACACACACACACACACACACACACGCAAACATGCACACACTCAGAGAGAAAGAAAAAGGGAGGGAGAGAAAGAGAGAGAGCGAAAACCCAAAAGTCTTAAAGCAAAGTTAAAAAATATATGTTTTTTTCAGCATAGGTATCTTAGTGTTTTTCTCTATTTATGTTCAAAGATAAAATACTGGTTTATGACTGGTTTATTTTACTAATAAAATACTGGTATTAACACTTTTAAGTGCAACTTAACAGATACACCTATCTCTATCTCCTTTTTACAGTTTATTCTCACTTAAACCTCCATCTATAATATATCTGTATATAAGAATAATAATTACAGCATTTATATCCTTTGGAATATGTAATTTTAGAAGATAATAATAGGCTCCTAACAAGGAATTAGGTTTTGTAATGTCTTTTCCTGACATCTAGCTTTAAAGTTAAGAAAGAATAATCGTAGTCATTCAGAGTTATGCATATTTAGTTTTTTGGACAGGAGAAACTGATCTTTAATTTTAGGACCATGGTGGCCTTATGGGCTATAGGTTTATCTCTTGCCTTAGAGGAAAACACCAGAAGCCAATCTACATTATGTTTAATTTCCTTTCTTGCTAACTACTTTCTCTTTGAAATAAGAAATTGTCCTTAAGGATAAGCTAGACCCAATATAGAGGATGATGTTCTATGAGATTGTACTTGATGCATGTCAATGGCAGAGGAAGAGATTCCTCACTTACAGCAAAACAAATTACAATTCCCCCTATAGTCGCATGTTTAAATTTCCCTAAAGCTCTGCAAGTTGAAAAGAGCTGCCTGGTAAATTTTAACTCAGTTCTTTCGTTGTGTATTTTTCTTACTTTATTACAATCCACAATAGCTCTTGCAGTCTGAGCGAATGAGAAAGAGCCAGAAAATTTAAGCATCATAAATATTCAAGACTTTAGGATTAGGCCATTCAGAAGGTTGTATCATGTCATCGGGAGTAAGATGGATAGACGTATGTGTGTGTCAGAGCTTTCATTGCATCCATCTTTGCCAGCAGATTCAGTGGTTTACACCAGGCTGAACATTAAGTGTCTGAAAAATACGGTGCATGAAAAAAGGAAGGAGAATGGAAAGATGACTAAACTTGTTAAAATTCATAGCCTCAGAATATTGGTTACTAGGTAGCCCTAGTAACATTGTTAAGTATACATTTATCTTTGGATGTCTCCTCTAAATAAATCTAGATCAAAGCTCATCTCCATAACTGCACCATCGCATATCGCTCTCAGGCTGCATGAGGAGCTTAGAGCTTTATCTTCTACCTGTCTTTCCCAAGCATGGAGCAGACCTGTGATGGGGGTGAGAGGGGGACAAAGCCCAGAGAGAATAGACAGTAGGTATGGAGGTTGGCTCAAAATGAAAAAGGCTGAGGAGGGCGAGATCAAAGGAGATTTAGGATCCAGTCACTTCTCCAGGTAGTTGCTAAGAAGTAAACTCTGAGCCCACTGACTCAGGCAGCTGTAGTACTTCGTGCTACTAAAAGAGCTCATCTTTGTCAAGGCACGCAAAGTGACCCAGGATGAAACAAATAATGGTGGGTCAAACCAGAGCCTGAATTAATAGGCCAAGGAAAGCAAGAGATCAGGTTTTGGTGCCAACATCAGAAGGAATTAAAAGAGTCTCTGAGGCAACTCAACTCAGGCCCAACCATTTTATGTAGTTCTTCTGGAGCAAGAATAATTTCATTGGTGTTATATTTCTACCTGTACCTAAGATGAGTAATAGAGAAAAGGATGTGAGGGGGAAGCTGCTAGGTCTAATGTATTTCAGAATCTTCTCTCTGCAGTTCTGTATGTTTCCTGTTTCAAATTCAAGAGAAACTAATGTGCTAGTTGACTGCAGATGGCTTAAAGTTTTACCTATTTTAAATTATAGATTTTCATTTAGAAAGGGTCTGTTGAAAAATAAAATAAACAACAACAAAAAAAGCATAACAGAAAGCTTACCAATGGTTCTCAACTTTGTGTGTCAGATTCAAGTGATGTCTTAATTAGAACTCTTTTGCTCATGAGAGACCAAAATCCAACTCACATTGGCGGTGGCTCATGCCTGTAATCCTAGCACTTTGGGAGGCCGAGGCGGGCAGATCACGAGGTCAGGAAATGGAGGCCATCCTGGCTAACAAGGTGAAACACCGTCTTCACCAAAAATACAAAAAATTAGCCAGGCGTCGTGGCGGGCGCTTGTAGTCCCAGCTACTCGGAGGCTGAGGCGGGAGAATGGCGTGAAGCCAGGAGGCGGAGCCTGCGGTGAGCCCAGGTGGCGCCACTGCACTCCAGTCTGGGTGACAGAGCGAGACTCAAACAAACAAACAAGCAAACAAAAAAACACTTTTTCTGTTCAAGTGATTAAAAGGCATAAATAGAGTTGGCTTCTGAAATGACTTGATATAGTTTTTTTTTTTTAATCATGTTATTAGTAAATCCTCTTTCTTCACTTCTGGAACCTGCTTTCCTTCCTCTGTTTCATTTGTTTCAGTCTCAGGCAGGCTTTTCTCTCCTAGCAGCTAGTATGGGACCAGAAAGTTGAGGCCAAAATTATCTTACCTTAGCAACTCAGTAGAAGAGCCTGTTCTCTTCCTCAATGCCTCTGCGAAAGCATCTGGTTCACTCCCATTAATCTGGATTTAGTAGCATATCCCTGTTGGAGCCAATCAGTTGGACAGAGAGAAGAAATATGCACTTTATCAAGGCCTATGAAATGGGCCCCCGCCCTTGGAAATGAAGGGTGGGTTAGCATGGGGAAAAAAGTGGTTCCCAAAATTAAGAGGAATATTATCAGGAATACTGGATTCTAGCAGGAATGCCACAAATGTCTACATCATCTAATTTTTGTTTCTAATTCAGAATTCTAGATTACCTCCCATCTCCGATTTGCTAAATAACAATCTGTAGGGGTCAAGCCTTAAATAGTTGAATTTGTAACATCTCCACAATGGTATTCTAACTCACAATCAGAGTGAGAGCCATTGCAACCCAAAAGAGTAATGCTATAAATAGGGAATTTTATGCATCCTGAGGCCAGTGAGTTAGACAGTCAAAGATAAATGAATAACTGCATAATTTGTTTACACACAATGGCTAATGTATATAAATCTACTGTTAACAAAATCCCAAAACATGAATGATAGGATGCAAACTAAGTTAATATATATATCACTGTCGCATTGACCTAAGCCATTGGAATAACTATTGATAGTTGATGCTCATCATCTGAACATATCAAAATTTTAAACATGACAGATAAGCTTGAATGAATGCAACAAGGAGGTATTGGTATTGTTTCCCTTTCTGCTGTTAACCAGCTATGGTCAAGTCACTTCAGTGGCTCTCAGTTCTCACACCTGTAAAACAAAACTGCCAGATTTACTGATGTCCAGGTCTTTTCTAGCTATGATATTTTACGATTCTATGATTAAACTGTGATGCCATACATTGATAATTTTATCAAGAGTTTCATCTGGACTAGAGCTTTGAAATTCAAAGCATGGCCCATGGACCAGCAATGTTAGCATCATATGGGACCTATTTAGAAATGCAGAATCTAGGCTCCATCTAGACATAATGAATTAAAATCTGCCTTTTAAGATCCCTAATGACTCTTATGCACATTAAAATTTGAGAAACATTGATCAAGACAGTAGTTTCACTTTGGACTGTGGTTCTGAAATTACCTGAGAGTTTATTTAAATTGTAGATCTCTAAAAATTTCCTTGTCATGAGAGACAAATTAATAACATTTGAGTAGTAGCTCAGGAATATGTTTTAAAATCTCCCCAGATAATTCTCATGTACAGACACATCAGTCTTATCTAGCACATCATCAAATATGAAACACGCTAACACAGCCAAAATCTTACTCAAATCTCCAAATCTGCAAACTTCACCATTGATAATCTATAAAAGGTATTATTTGCAATCATTTGTACTTCTGTCTGGTTTATGTACACATGGGAAATGATATCTCATTTATAGATGGAGAAAATAAAATTCGAAGAGAAAAAATGAATTAACCTGAGATAACAAATTTAATGGCAAAAATGAGATTAGGTAGATATCATCTTAGTATATTTATTTTGAAAATTTTTAAGGATCATTAGTATACAGTGTTGAATCTATTATTTTTTCTGGAAAAAGTTCAGCTTATCTTACCAAGTAATCAAACACGATAAAATAAAGATCCAAAATAATTTACATTTATGGGCTTCAACATCTCTGAAAGAAACTGTTCTTAATATCTTCTTATCACTGTATCTGGAGTGGTTGCCCATTAAGTCATACACATACTAGGTGCTTCAAGGGGGAGAGAGTATTCCTTTTTATAGTCTTCATTAATGGTGAGTAGTACGCTTTCCCCAGAAATATTTGTTTACCAATCAAACATAAAAAGTTTTAGAAAATCAAAGAATATACAGATATTTACGGATAATCTGGAATATTTATCTAAAATATTAATAATTCAGCAAACAGCTGTGTTTGGCATTATTTAATTAGCCACTAAATAGATAACAAGATTTGCTTGTTCATCTGTTACAATTAATCTGTTGTGCTCTAATAACAATTGGCAGATTCTTATAAAGATTCTATGTTTAAGTGAATAAATAATTTGTTTTTTTAATATTAAAATGGGAAATAATGTAAGAAGGCATTTTATTTTATCTGGTGCTTGTGAGGTATCTAGAGAAAACATAATGAGAGGCATTCTTTGAAATACACAACCCTTATAATAATTTAATAAAGAGAATTGTCATCTTAAAAGAATCAGGATGATTGCCTTGATGACAGAGATTATTCTTTTAACTTCCTGAATCTGCCATTTGAAAATCTTCAATTGATAACATTTTGAATTTATTAACAGTTTGCCATATTAATAGAGAAAAATTGCATGCTTTAAACTGGCCATGTAAGTCTTAGACAAAATTACAAACTATCTGTCTACTCAACAGCAAGCTTTGGTATGATCATAAGTAGATAAAAACGATCATAAGCAAAACACATGTAATATAACAAAACAATTTAGAAATACGTCACTACAAAATCAGCTCATTCACAGGAATCACTGATACAATCTATTTTCACTGATTTTTGTTCCATTGGTTGCTGCTACTACCAGCCTTCTCATTTTGAATGCCTGTGGCCTTTCTTCCCAGTTACATATGGAAGTTGAGCTCAGAGAGTCTGGGGAAAATGTATTGGCCTGATGATTACCATTGGCACTGTGGTAGACATAGACCTTATGTAAACATTTTGACAGAATTAAACGGCCTCATGAGGAGGAAGAAAAACTAATGAAGTGAATCTTCACTTGGAGTTTGGTGAAGTTTTAGAGATTACACCCTTTGAGTAATTGTATGTTCCTATGGGACATTCAGCACACGTCATGAGAACAAGAAAATTCTCCATTATACTTGAAAACTCTAACTTGGACTACCAAGAGGATCATTAAAATCTATCCTTGTCCTCTCAAATGTCCAGCATAAATATATTTAGTAAATGGCTAAATTTTGTAATTTCTGCATGTAGAATACCATAAATATAGAGACAAGTGTTATAAGACAAAATAGAATGTAGATTATCCTACCCTAATCATTAATAAGGAATGCTAGAGAAATGTAATAATATTAAATCTGCAGAACAAAGGGAATAGAAATTTAAAGTTCCTTCCTTTAAGCTCGGTTTTAAATCTTGCTCTCAATTTTTTTCTGTTGAAATAGTTATATTTTATTAACATTTTATTATAGGCATAATATACTTACTTATAGTTTATCTAGTTTTTGTATGAGCATCTATAAATTTTGAAATAAAGCAATGTTAAAAACATGCTTAATGTCCTTAATATAATTACAATTTAGCTTTTCAGTGCTCTAGAAAAAACAGTACATGAAAAAATTTCTGAAATATAAAAAACTTTCAATTGTTGCAGTTGTTTTTCTGTTTTCTCTTTTATTGTTCTATTTATTTTGAGACAGGGTCTTACTCTGCTGCCCAGGCGGAAATGCAGTGTCACCATCATGGCTCACTGCAGCCTCAACCTCCTGGGCTCAAGGGATCCTCCTGTCTCAGCCTCCCAAGTAGCTGGACTACAGTTGTGCACCACCACACCCAGCTCATTTTTATTTATTTATTTATTTATTTATTTATTTATTTATTTATTTATTGTAGAGATGGAGTTTCACCCTGTTGCCCAGGTTGGTCTTGAATTCCTGGATTCAAGCAATCTGCCCAACTCAGCTTTCCAAATTGCTGGAATTACAGGTGTGAGATACTGCACCTGGCCAATCGTTGCAGTTTATAAGTACCTTTGGCATATCTTATTTCCATAAGTAGTAAAATCTTGCAACTTTCCCTTGTATTTCTAACAGAAATTTAAAATATTTAGAAATAAAATATTTTTTCAAATTTTCAAGTATAATCATTTTAGTAGTTAAATAGTATTTTGAAAGTTGTATCATAAAAAACAAGTAAAATATGATCCATCACCACCTTCTAAAATATGCAAGAATTGATAACTCATAATCATGGTTGAATATTTTTTCAAGTAGTATGCATTTCTCAAGTGGCTAGTATATTCCAGTCATCATGTTAGGCATTGAAAATTTAATGTGGAACAAAATAGACATAATTCTTGCCCTCATCAAATTTAGTTATTTAGTGAGAGAGACAAATAATAATAATAGATGGCATTCACATGATGCTTACTTGACACAAATGATGCTCTAAATGTTTTACATTTTAACATATTTTAATCCCCATATAATCCTATCTGGTAGACACTACTGTTAATCTTATTTTATGGATGAGGAAATGAAGTTCACACAGCTAGTAAGTATGGAAATCAGATTTGAATTGAGCAGATTGACTCCCGTGTTAATTATCTTCAACATTAAGCTGTATTTTAATGGATGTCAGAGATGCACATATTTTTGTATAGATCTTTTAATAGTTTTATCTATGTCTACATTTTCCTATCAAAATGCATGATATTTTAATTATATTAGTATACTATAGATTTATAACATCTTTCATATGAGGATTATTAAAATAATTAAAATAATTCTTTACAGATCATCGGAATCCTGAAATAAAGAATAATCTAAAAATGTGACTAGTTTTTATTTATTCTCAACACCATAATAAATTATTATAACTCCTCCTCTGTTTGGCATTGTACTTTGGAAAAACAGTCTGTGTGAGGAAGATATATTTCATTGCTATCGCCATTGAATGATAAACCATGAAAGTCAGAGTTTAAATTCTCTGAGTTCCTTAATGAAAGAAAGTTGTAAATGCATTTAAAGCCCAGTATGATAATGTTTTCTTTGGATTTCAAAAGCTTTTAGTCTTGGAGTGAGAGATGAATAGCGATAAGGATCTAAGAGGAGATACTACTTTTTCCTCCCTTATCTTCACTCATACCTCCCTACCAGCCACCAGAAAAGTGTTAGGGGAAAGTCAGGAGTAGTAAAAGAAGTAGAAATACACTTCCTACATTCTTTGAAATTAATTTGCCCTTCTCTTAAATCCTTCAGTGCCCTTGAAACCATTACTGACACCGGCAACTTTAGTGGAGTGCTAATTCTTTCTTATTAGGCAAAGCTACCAGTGACTCAGTAGAATAAAGGGATTTCCCTTTGTTGCCTCCTAACACATTAAGATAATTGTAACTTTTTTTCCGTGTCTTTTTCCCTTCTTCCCTTCTCAAAATTCAAATAGAAACTCATACCTTTAAGAATTTATGGGCAGACTCACACGTGGATTAAGATACTTTGACCTCTGTGCTTTCTAAGACACAAAACAATTTTTAAGATTTACCGGTTACAAATATGGCTTATGATTCCAACTAGCATCTGGTGCTGAGACTTAACACCTTTTCAGAGACATTGGACATCCACCTAATTGCAAAGGACATATATGTGGAGGTAAATAATGACTGCCTTGCCTTTCTTCTAAGTCTCTTGTATCCAGGTTTGGTTCAGGTTTAAGTAAAGTGATCCTCAAAAGGTGTCATGATGTTTAAGTAAAATTTTATGCTATTATACATTATTTCATGTTATATTAAGTGGAGACATTCACCTATCTTTGCAAATTATTAAATAACCAGAAGCTAGTATTAACATAATATAGAAAACTTAATTTTATTTGAAGATTGTTGGACAATAAATTTCTACCTTTAATGACTCGAATCTTTTAAATTTGATTTTGCAATTTATACAAATATAGCCTTAGCTGGAAAGAGCAATCAAAGGTAACAAATCAGGCATTGCCTCCCTATGAGAAAAATACCTTTCCAAAGTCTAAATTAGTAACATGTTACTGAATTGGACAGGAGCTTGAATAGCATCATTTCCTGGCTAAAGTGTAAGGAGACAGAACTGGCACGCCATGTGGAGGCTTTACTGGATTCTCCTGACAACAGATATCAACAGTCAGTGACACCAGTGATGGAATCCAGTCCCCAAAGAGAACGCAAAGTTGCAATAAAACATGCAAAGAAACATTTAATTTCTCCTTAAGTCTGAATCATCAGAAATAATTTTTTGTCTTCCTGAGCAAATAAATGTAGGTGTGTGTATGTCTTTACTAGTTCTGCTGTGTTTTGCCATGCTTGCCTCTGTAGAAATATTAATATTTCAGTTAAAAATAGTTGATAATGTACCTGTAAAACAAAAATCTGCCTATGTAAGTTTGTATACTTTATTGTGAGCTCTAGAGACTTTACTGTGTGTGTATCTTTTTAAAAATGGTTGACCTCTGCTTGCAAAACAACTGCCTGCATCTGCCCACAGCAGTGAGGTTGTCTTAGTTTGTTCTAAGGCTGAAGTGCAGAATCAGGAAAATAAAAAATGAGGCTTTCCCTGTGAGACTGATCTAAGTTGTAGAACTGGGTTGCATCTACTCTGCTTACCATAGAGTAAAAAATAACTGCTCTGAAATAAATTGCCATTTTTTAGTCTAATTTTCCTTTATTTATTTTTATTTTTGCTTAAGTAAAACTTATTATGAAGCATATCCAACATGCAAGTACTTACCTTTCACTTTAGAGTTACCTCCCTTTCATGTATTTGGGAAAGGGAGATAATACATTTACCCTAGCATTTCCCTTCTCCTGAGTGGTGGTCTTGACCCTAGTCTTTGAGATTTGTCTTTATTTCTTTTTTTCAGGATGGTCCCTTGCTCATTTCAGTTACTGCTACTACCTAGCACTCATTTCCTTTGTCAGGATATGTCTGAGTACACAAGAGCTAAGAGGAGCAAGGTAGCTCCTGCTAGTACTTCTTTCATCTGTTTTCTGATGTGCAAACTTACACCTACCTTGCAGGAAACCCTACTATGATCAACAAGGACCGTCTTTCTAGTCCCCAAAACCACCACAACTCTGTCCAGTCTTTTCTGCAAAATCTAAGTTAGAGTAGGAGGCTCTGACAGGATTTTTTCAGGCAAGATGGCCTTCAGCACTGGATTCTATGGAAGAGTCTAACCCACGTCTTATTCTCCCGTGTGAGCTCCAGAATCCCTTCTTTATTCTTTTGAATGGTCAGCTGGTATCTGTGGAAGACATACATGTATATATACACACATATGCACACACCCCTACCTCTAAAAAAAATATTATTCTAAATGACAATTTTAAGGCCTCCCCATTACATGGTGAATGTAGCATTCCATGCAATTTTTCAATTTTAAAAATTTCATGCCATCTCTATATTCCAATTAATACCTACTAGGAGTAAGGAATGATCTCTTAAAGGCAACTCCCTTAGTACGTCCAAAGACCAGTCTAAATCTTTGATATTTTACTTGCTTTATGGACCTGAATTAAACAAATCACCAATCTTCTTCACAGCATCTGTTGGCTTGGAGACGAGGGAGCAAGCAAAACAGTATTGACAGGAGAGAATATCAAGTTTGTTTTTTCAGTTCATTTGAAATCAGTTTGTCTCTGTGGATGACCTAAAGTTTTGTAAAGGTCCTTTGCTCCCCCTGGGATTAGACGTGCCTTAGACCTGTCTAGTAGTAATATAATAGGAGTCACATATGTAATTTAAGATTTTCTAGTAGCCACATTTAAAATAGTAAAAAGAAAAATATAAAACTAATTTTAATCATATATCTTATTGAATTCAATGTATCAGTCAGGGATTAAACAGAGAAGTAGAACCAGTAGAAGATTATGGAGATACTTTTATACTTTTAAAAAATTATTACAAGGAATTGGATTATGCGATTGTGGGAACTGGCCAGGCATTTTTGAACCCATATGACAGGAAGTCAGGAAGGGAGGATCACAGGCAAGTTGAGCCTAGAAGCTGTCAACCAAAGTTGTCATTCACAGGCAGAATTTCTCCTTTTGCCCTGGGCAATCTCAGGCCTGTTTTTAAGGCTTTCCAAAGAAATCAGAGAAGCCCATCCAAATTATACAAAATCTGCAAAATCATCTTACTTAAAGTCAACTAATTAGTGATTTTAATTACATCTGCAATATACCTGCAAGCGACTCTAGGTTAGTATTCGATAAAATAACTTGGGATAATAGCCTAGCCAAACTGAGCCAATAATAAAACTATCACACCCAATATGACCAAAATATCATTTCAAAATGTAATTCATATAAAAATTATTAATGAGGTATTTTACTTATATTTTATTCTAAGTTTTTGTAATCTAGTGTATATTTTATACTTACAGCACATCTCAATTTGGATTAACCATATATCATGTCCTTAATATGCACAAATGTCTAGTGGCTACTGCATTGGATAGTATAGGTCTAGACAGTGATAGTGATTACTCTGGTTATCATGTAAGTTTAGAGCAGTGGTTCTCAACTAGGATTCATTTTGCCCTGTAGGAGACATTTGGCAAAGTCTCTGGACATGTTTCATTGTCAAGATTGGGAGGTGGATATGGGGGCTACTGGCATCTAAAAGGTAGAGGCTAGGAATGCTGCTGAATATCCTAAAATGCACAAAATAGCCCCTCCCCAAAATAATGCTTCACCCAATTCAGAATGTCAAAAGTGCTAATGTAAGAAACCCTGCTGTAGAGTAAAATTTGGAGACTAGAGAAGAAATAAACAAAATGGTGAGAGAGACAGGAAGATGGGCATTTCCTATGTCATTTGGAGATATTTCCTTACATTTTGGAGAATTGTTTTCAGGGACAAGAATGAGTGCCTTACCTGTTCATATCTTCATCACCATATTCAAAGTCACAGTTGAGATAAGAGTAGATTAGTGACCCTGTAAATAGTAAGATAACTGATTAATGAGAAAAATTAGGAAGAAAACCTTCACAATGGTGGTTACCTCCTTAACAGGTGAATGAAAGCTAGTAGCTGTCTTTTCTGAAGATATTTAGGGTGTTGCCATGGTTGATCTTAATTTAGTAGACTTTTGGAAAAACTACAAAAATGCAAATGCAGATTTACAAATGGAGAATTTAAAATGTGTACAGTAATTAACACCATCTCAGACCATCTGTGGAATAAAGTTGTGATAAATAAATAAGTAAACCTCATTAGCATTTTTCTAAGAAAAAACACTATATTTAAGATTAAGTCACTTTTCAAAGGTAGCAATCATATTTGTAAACTCTAATCTCAAATTCACTTCTATCCAAATTAACTGTAAATTCAGAATTAACTCCATTTTCTTAGCCTTGGTAATGTATGTATACTGAAGCTAGCAGAAAATTGAATATATTTGCTAAAACCTGATGTTTAGAAAAAAAGTACAACTAACTTATTCTATGAAATGTGTCATATCTGCTTGCAGTAATTATTGGTTAAATGTAATGCCAAATGCTGATTATAAACATAGCTTAGAGTCAATACTTCTGAAATATATTTCCTATTAGATAGTTGTTACAGTTCATTTCACAAATTCTTAATTTAATATGTAAAAACTAAATCTTCCTAAATCTAAATGACATTCTTATTAAGGATTCTTAATTTGTATTGAGAGTAATTGAAATAAAAATAATTATAGTTTGTGACCAATTTTAGCACTGAAAATGGTGACAACATAGCTCTGTCTATTAAATGTTTAAGCTTTTCCAAATAACTCTAATTTTGAGATAACTCCAATTTTTCCCTTATTTCAATAAATAAGTGATTTGTTTAGCAATATGTTACAAAGACTCTTTTAGACTCCAATAAACTTGTTAGTAACTGTATAATAATTTAAACTTTGTGGTAGGTTTATAAAGTTTAGGTCATAGCTATGGCTTAAATTTTATACATTTTCAGAGTTTTAAAATTATAAATTCTATTTTTTCTTAGAAATACACAAAGATAAGACTGAAAAACAAGAGAAACCTGAAAGGAAAATACAAACTAAAGGTAAACATTTCATTTTATGTTTATTCTTCATTTAGATATACATTTTTGTGTATTCATATGCGAGAAAAAATTTCATGTTTAGTGTTTTTGTAACATTTTTGATATTAAATAACTAAATTTACTCCTCAGTTAATTTCAGTTATAAATGTATATCAGTTAATTTCAGTTATAAATGTATAAATAACATAAATAATATTTAATAGATGGAATCAAAGTAACTTCAAAATGTGTAATAATTTTTAAATTATTTACAATTACTAAGAGAGTAGCTCAAATACATATTGATTTACTGAGGAAATAATTTTTTTTCTTTTAAGAAGTTAGTGTAACAAGTCAGAGTTTATTTTTTTTTAACCTGAATTCCTTCTGTCATGCAATATCTTTACAATCTTTGGTGTAGAAATGCAGAGTCATTATATGACCTCATGGCAGAGGTCATGTAAGAAAGCCCCACGGCTCTCCTGCACAGCCTCAAGAGGTAGATGGACAGTGACAGCATGATGATTAATATCACTTTCAGCTGAACTGAATCCAGTAATGGCAATCTTGCAGCAGAAGCAAATTAAGAAAGGCCAGCATTGTCTTGCTTATCTTATAAGAATAACTTTTCTGTGGGTGACAGAGATAGTCATAAAACTTTAAAGAAACTAATAGGAAGCAAGACATTCAAAAATATATTCTTCTAAGCGTGCCCAGGTTTTCCCAATGGTCAGTTTCACATGATTTTGAATGAGCCAGGGCAAAAATAAAGATCTCATAATAACTATATTTGTATAATGCAGACAGAAAATGAGATAATTTATTTCTGAGATAAAAATGGAATTTTATCCAGTATTTACTATGTCATAAACCAGCTAATGCAAAATTATCTGTAGTAAATACCACAGTTGCAGCTAGTAAATTTTCAAATAATAAAAGTATCAATTAAATTATACTAGCACGTGAATTTATATTAATACAATGCCATGTTGTTGCTGTTGTTTTTAAAATATACTTCATGTGCTTTCTTTTTGGGAAGGGCTCAAATCATTCTACAGATATTATGTCTTTAATCCTAATGTTTGAATTCATTCTAGATTGGTCAGCCAATTCTTCAACAATCAGAACATTGAAGCTCACTCAGTTGAAACCTATTTATATTTGTACTTAGGAAACTAATGTCTCCTTACTGTTCTCTTTCCTTTTTTCGGTTCTTAATTCCTTTGATCACAGAAGTTGGACACAGCTCTTGAGTACGGATTGACTAAGCGAACCATGACTGAACTGGCTCTGTGTTTCTATCTGCTGAAGGTTAAACAGAAACTCAACTGGTTCCACACCATTTGGGTCCCTGCTGTTTTTTTCTTGCAGACTGTGCTATTAATTTAATAACAGTGCTGCTGGAGTGGCGGTAGTAATGTAGATGGCACCATTTGCATTTTGGACCTGGCTATATTAGAATTCTGATGTCAAAGACCGAGCAGTGGGCTGTAGAGTAGGTTTATTAAACTAGCAAGTCTTCCATAATTAAGACAGTGAATTTGGCTGAAGTCTAAAATAAATTTCTCAAAGACTGAGCTGGAGATTATCAACCTGAATATATTTCTTGAGTAGACCAAATATGTTTTGTAAAAGTAACTATTTCTTAAGAAAGTGAAAGTAGAGCTTCAGTTGCTCCACACTGAGCTGGAAATCAGAGAGAGCTTATGTTTTCCACAGTTTTTCTGTGTGAATATGAACAAAAGATTTCACTTTATTGCTTAGTTTCCCGTCTGTAAATGGGGTAGACTAATGCCTGCTCTTTATTCTCAAATAGTTCAGTGAAAATAAATGTTTTGCTTTACAACTGCTCTTGTATGTGGATAAATACTGTTTTCTGTATGCCATGTTCCATGTCAGTTATGGTTGTATGTGATGGATAGTTAGGAATTTAAGTTATTATCAAAGCATTTTGAACCCTTAGAAGAAAAGATACAGTATTTGAAAGGTAGTAGTAGTCTGTGATGATTATAAATGAGTCAATAAATATCTGAGACCAAAAAGATTCATTATGCTCAAGCTGGTGTGTTTTGTGGGATGACAAAAGATATTCGTTATGGTGGAAGCTAGATCACATTCTATTTCTCTATAGTTTTTTTCCCCTTCAAGGGACAATATGATATTCTGAAAGGTTTTAGAAGCATGGAACTCATCGGGAGAGCCTTGGGAGTCTACACCTATATAATTGACCCATCAAGAAGGATGCAAAAAAAAAATCACACAGAATATGTAATCCCACAGGATATATATTTCTAAAACAATTCTATATTAATATTCTAACTAATTGATTTTATAGTGTCAAATAATGAGTTTCAATTCTGACTCTTTTTCTTAAGAAATTAGATACTTTTATAGGCAACCACATTAAATAATTTTACTTTATCATATCAAGCTAACTTTTATTTCTACTTTGTCCCTCTGTTTATTTTGTTCGATATTTTCCTCAGGGAAGAATGCAGCAGTTTATGGAGCTAAAGAATATGCCTTTTAAATGATAACCAGGCAATGAATACTTATTATGTTTTTAGGACACAAGCTCTGACATGTTAGTTAAGGTTTACCTTAAACTAAGTTAACCTTGGATTTTTTCCCATAAAAGAGGTAGAAATTTATTTTATTTTATAAATATAATCAGAATACTGTATGTGACCTTGTATTGGTCACATACAGTACCTCATAAAAGAGGTAGAAATTTATTTTATTTTATAAATATAATCAGAATACTGTATGTGACCTTGTTCTGAATTTATATAGTAATATAGCGGAACATTACATTTGCTTAGAAAAAACTTCCAACCATAATTTAACATTTTTTGGGTTACCACATATCATTAACTAAATTGTGACTCATATAAATGGCCCCTGGGGAACAGGCAGAATGAGTTAACCACAATGGAGTAGTTTTGAGTACCAAGCAGAGTGCTCTAGTACAAGTTACCTCCAAGAACGCTGATTCCACATTAGGGTGATGGTTTCAAATTAAAGTTTTTATAGGTCAAAATGATCTTGCGGAATATAATCATATTTAAAACTATATCCAACAATGGATACCCATGGTCCACATGTTGAATGATAAGAAATGTTAACCAGTCTTCTCTAGCAGTCAACAGTCTGAGTTTCCTTTGTAATCATAAATAACTCTGCCCACAGATGTTTTAAATAAAAAGATATATACAGACTAACTTCAAAGAATTAAAGAGAATGTTATTTGTCATAAATAAAAGGTCCAAGTCATGATTATTAAAGAACATTTCCTTTACCCGTGGTAAATACTCAGATATTCTAATTAATAAATAAACTAAAGCATGGTGTGTGATTTTCATAAAGGGTGATGTTACCATAACCTTTTTCTACTTTTAGAAAGGTCTTTAATTAAATTATCTGGGTTAGAATCCAAATTTGGTAACTTCTGGCTATGTGTCCTTGGGCAAGATAATTAATCTTTCTTTGCCTTTATTTCATCATCTGTAAAATGGGGATAATAGAGTTGTCATAAGAATTAAATAATTATGAAATGTACTTGTAAAATTCTTAAAATAATTATTGACTAATTTTAAACAGTAACTATCAGTTAATTAATTAATCATCTTAACCACCTCTAACTGGATGAGAGTCCCTTACAGTTTTCTTATCTGAATTCCTTTTTTCTCTATCTTTAGTATCATTTGATATCTGTCTCATCATAGGCTGAACAAATATAAGATGTGTCATCCCAAGTTCCTGTAACAACCCTAAACTACTTTTACTGCCTTGTCAGTTCTATATTTGTGTTTCCCTTCTTAAAAATTTAATATTGTATGAGTGTTTATCTACTATGGATGAAATACTGTATATAATTTTTTATGTCTAATATTTCACTTAATCTTCATAGAACAATCTAACACAGTAGATATAATTCCATTTAAACTAAGAATACGTAGGTTTACCTGGATTCAATCATTGTGTCAAGTTTAGTAATTTGTAGAGCCACATTTTTGCCTGTTATCTCTAACGTAAGAACATGTGGCTTTTCCAGTATATCCTATATCCAATTTTCTTTCTTCTTTTTGTTCTTTGGTGCCTGCTGAGTCTGTAGCACCAGAATTTGCTCATAGCCATAGGATCTAGAATTTGTCTCTGAAACCCTGTGGTTAGAACCTTGCTTCCTGCTGGTTGACCTCACTGATCTGCTTGCATTTGTACATATCTATCAGTTCCTAGATACCATCTCTGTTCTCTTCCCATCAGTCTGTGTGCCACGTAGCCTGATGTGGGCTTACCTAATTCTAATAGCTTACCTGTATAGTAGACACCATATAAAGATGCATAGACTGTATGCATCTTTAAATCCCCTTTCTACTATTTTCAGTCTTAACACAACTGAGAAATGAGATGTGGCAGTACTTATCTTGGTAGATGTGTCAGATGGCTTGTCATAGGTGTACTAGTTTTCTGTGGCTGCTGTAACAAATTACCACAAACTGGGCCCACCTGAATAATCCAAGATAATCTCACCATCTCAAGATCCTTGACTTAATCACATTGCAAAGTCCATATATATATGTAACATTCGCAGATTCCAGAGACTAGGATATAGTT
The DNA here is from genome assembly GCF_000001405.40 of Homo sapiens. Lineage (NCBI taxonomy): Eukaryota > Metazoa > Chordata > Mammalia > Primates > Hominidae > Homo > Homo sapiens. The sequence goes on along the minus strand of NC_000006.12, from coordinate 123,525,909 downwards.
ATACTTTAGAGGGCCATTATTTGGCCTATTCCACTGTCTTTTCAATAAATAAACTTCAAATCACCAGATCTAATTACTTAAACAGCATCGTGGAGTCAAAGGATTACTTAAAGGCCCCATTTAGAAAGAAGTCTTGACAAGCATGCATGCCAGTCAGTCAGAGTTTAGAGGGACTGATAATTAAATATAAAAATACAAGTTTTTTTTAAAAAACTTTTAGATTCAAGGGATACATGTGCATGTTTGTTACTTGGGTATGTTTCATAATGATGGGGATTGAGCTCTTCTAGTGTGTCCATCACCCAAATATTCAACATAATACTCAATAGGTAATTTTTCAAGCCTCAGTTCCCATTCCAATCTCCCCATTTTTTGAGATCCCTAGTGTCTGTTATTTCCGTCTTTATGTCTATGTGTAGCAATTGTAAGTGAGAACATGCAATATTTGATTTTCTATTTCTGAGTTAGTTCACTTAGGATAATGGCCTCCCGCTCTATCCATGTTGCTGCAGAGGACATAATTCCATTCTTTTTTATGACTGAATAGTATTCCATGGTGTATATATACCACATTTTCTTTACCCAATCAGCCACTGATGGACACTTATGTTTGGTTCCATGACTTTGCCACTGCGAATAGTGCTGTGATGAACATGTGAGTGCAGGTGTCTTTTTTATATAATGATTTTTTTTCATTTGAGCAGATACCTCATAGTGGCATTGCTGGGTCAAATGGTAGTTTTATTTTTACTTCTTTAAGATATCCCCATACTGTTTTCCATAGAGGTCGAATGAATTTACATCTCCATTAACAGTGTATAAGTGTTCTCTATTTTATGCATCCATGACATCTGTTGTTTTTGACTTTTTAATAGTAACCATTCTGAATGATGTAAGATGATATCTCAATGTGGTTGTGAGTTGCATTTCTCTGATGGTTACTGATGTTAAGCAATTTTTCATGTTTGTGAATAGAAAGATAAAAGTATTTAAAGATAGAAACCACAAAATGGCAAATATTACCAAGTTTACAGTTCATGGTAGAAAAATAGCAGCATTATCACAAAGACTTTTGTATATCTTCAGGTATCAGCATAGCAAAAGTAAGATGTAAAGTTACTATGCTTATGGAACTCAGGTTTATGAACATTTCTGAAATTTCAAAATTTCATTATTTGAGAGATCAGAACAAATCAGAATAACTACTATTTTTGCTTTTTCCTTAGGCAGCAAGATGAGTTCTTTTGTTTTTTGGTGGTATTAAAATTTTGTTTTGTTTTTGTTTTGCTTTTCTTACTATATGTGAAGAGCTTAGTCACCTTGACAATAGGACACAGTTTGTGTATGGCCAATGTAGTGCCATCATTCCCTTAAGATATAAATTCCTCATTAAAAATGCATCTTTAATGTGCACATATCTTAAATAAAATCTTAAGAATGTCATGAATATCCTGAGTATTTTCTTAATTGGATAATCCCTTAGCATTCTATTTAAGCCATCAACTAATTTAGGAGCCCAAGTGGTTAATTAATTTTGATATTTGAAAAGGCTGAAAGTATAGAATATAAAGTCTCTGAGCCTTCTTATAAAATTCCCACCTGACTTTACACAGGTAACTAACAGACTTCTTTCATCTAATGTATTCAAGCCCATATTAACATCTATTGCAGAAAATGTCTGCACCTGTCTGTATTCTTTGTCCTAATGACTGACATCACTGTCCACCCAAATTATTCATGCTAAACATCTAGAAGCCATTGTTGCCAGGGGTGGTACTCAACCCTGACTGCACTTTAGATCACCAGGATAGCTTTTAAATATGTATCTATGTGCGTACTCCAGCCTGGAGCCATTAATGTTTGAGAAGTAATGCCAGGGTTTGGGCCTAGCTGCCCTAATGATTCAAATGAGTAGCCAGGGTTAGAATCACTGTCTGTTGAACTCATGGCTTAGAGTTCAAATATATCCCACAGTGGTTTCTTTTGACGAGCCAGTGTTTTAGATAATGAGTAACTGGATGCCTTTAAGTGGGGCCTGCACCCTCTGTTTACGACAGTCTCCACCACTCCCTCTTTCACCACTGGGGTACCTGTTAATTTACCTGTCTCATCTATGAAGGCATTTGAATTTTAGTTCCTGCCATAGACTTCTTGTTCTCTTTCAACACCAAAGCTTGTCCCTGCCATAGACCTTTTTGTCTCTTTCAGCAGTAGAGCTCAACCCTACTTAGCTCCTCCGTACTATAATTTAGTCTACTTTCTCTCTTCTCCAACTGCTATCTTCTCCACAATCATCTCTCAATTAAATTGTGACAGTCACTTCTTAACTGATTTCCCAGCATTAACCCCTCAGGTCCATGCTAATCCAGTCACTTACGGGCTTAAATCCATTTGTTGGTGCCCCAGTGCTAAGAGATAAAAGTGACATTTTCCAACCTGGCATATGATCACTGCTACCCCTACAGCGTTCCAGCTTCGTAGTTTATCATGTCTTCCCTGTTCTGCTACCTCCTTACCAAGCTTTCTCACAGATACAGCCTCCTCCTCCCTGCCACCCTTAGCACTCCAGACCCCACTGATGCCCCCTGTACTGCAGGCAGGCTGAGCTGTTGAGTAGTCCCTGAACAGGCATTGTCACTGTCTCATAACTGTGCACTTTTTTTGTATGCTCTCTTCTCTCCAGCCATCAAGCCCTTCCTGTGTAGTCCCTTGGCAAAAGCCTGCTTATTTCTTTGATTCTCATACGGAGTGTCAGTTCCTTTAAGAAGTCCCCACTGCTGTTCTTCACTGGGGGCATTTAAGCACTTTGTCCATGCTGTTCCACCCCAGCTTTTGCTCTTCCAAGCACTTTGACAACATATTTTAATTGTGGGTATATGTCGATCTAACTAACTGAGGGAGGGAACTATGTTTGTCTTCATGTATGTTCTAGGGCAGCCTTGCCACTCCCTTTTATGATTCTGTTTTGTTATCCATGAACAAAGGGATATGGGCTCATAGTCTTCTCAGGTTTTCACCAGCTCTGAATTTGTATGCTTATATCAAATTAAAAATCATTCTAACATCTAACAGTACCCAACACACTCAATAAATACTGAAATAACGATTTAATTTGTGAACGAAGTATTCTTCTGTTTTGTTAATCTCTACTGGATTCCTACAGACAACTTTGCATTTGACATTCCTACAGACAACTTTCCATTTAGCTTTAATTAAGCCACTGTAATTTAAGTCAAATGTCTGTGGTTAGTGGCAACAAACAATTTCATACTAAAACAAAAACTTTCTGTAATATGTAATCTGAAAACACCCACACTGAAACAACTAAAATTATAATAGTACAGATAAATATGGATGATTTGGAAAATGCAAAAAAAAAAAAAAAAAAAAAAGAGGAACCGCACCCCCACAATCCAATTAACTGGAGAAAAATAGTAATGTATTTCTAATTTTCCTCTGGCTTTCCCCCCCCATGTAGTTGTTTGTTTATTGTATATTGCCTTATTTTTTTGCAATTGTGAATTTTATTGGTGATATTAGATAAGATTTCGGCTTCTATTTAACTAATAGACATGTCAATTTACTTGTAGAACAGAACAAATCAGAAAAGACAGGAACCCAGTGGTAAATATATAACTAAATATGTGAACTTTTTCCAAGAAGGCTCCTAGACAATAGGATGGCCCGGTAGGCGGCAGAACAGTAGGTTTCTGCTACATCCACCTGTATTGTCAGGTGGTTGGGTGAAAAAGTGACCTCAGAAATGGAGAAGTTTACTTAACAGAAATGTATACTGGAGAGACAGCATATGGTCAGCTTCAGAGTGGGCTAGACAGCGGGAATAGGGTGTATTCTGGCAGGCAGATAGTGTAAATGGAAAAAGTGGTCACAGCCACTAGGTGATAATACACATTCACTTATTCACAGTACCTACTTTGTGCCAAACACCATACTGGGCACTACAAATTCCATGATGAATAAGATCCAGTTAATGATAAATTTGAAAAAGTAAATACACAATTATACCACGTGTAGTAAGTACTTCACAGAGATGTCCTCGAGGAGAGATGTAGTTTGGGGTTTGGCAACCTCAGTTGTTGAGTAAGTCTGTCTGCAGTTTTCTGGAAGGACCTCAGAGGAATTAGTGGTTTTTGGTTCAGGTGTGGACTCTGAAGCTTAACAGGGAAGACACAAAAGCTAAGCTGACATCAGTCCTCAGGGAACCAGGTGGGAACTTGGTTCAAGGGCTGCAACAGAAGTCTAATTATTACTATTATTCTTAACATTAGCCTTAATATTACCTTATTGAGGCTGGAAGTCCAAAGTCAAGGTTTCCACAGGATGAGTTTTTTTCTGAGGGCTGTGACGAAGAATCTGTTCCATGCCTCTCTCCTGGCCTCTGGAGGTTTGCGGGCAAGCTTTGGGGCCTTGTAGATGAAGTTCTCCAATTCCTGCCTTCATCTTCAAATGATGCTCTCCCTGTGTCTCTGTCTTTTCACAGGATATGCATTCCCTCTGTGCATATCCTTCTCTGGACCCAAATTTCTCTTTTTATAAGGACATCAGTCCTATTGGATTAGGGACTAGCCTCATGACTTAAACTTGGATTGTCTCTGTAAAAACCTTATTTCCAAATAAAGTCACATTCTTAGGCTCTGGGGCTAATGACTTCAACATATATTTTTGGGGAGACACAATTCAACCCATAACAATATCATATGCACAAAAAACAAAGGATTGTTTTTAAAAAGGGTGATTCAGAATAATAACACTGATTTGTCTAGAACTCCTTCAGTTTTTGGGAAACAATTGCAGGATTGGAGTCATAGGCTGACAAGGGATTTAGCTGATGGTGAGGCTCAAAAGTCAAAATGCAATCAAATACATTAAAATATATTTAAATATCCTGAAGCCCTTTATAAAAATGCTCTTAAAGCCCACAAATTCATTTAGTCTTCCTGTACTGTATAAACTTTTATTTTTGTCTTCTCTTAGCTGCACTTCATTAACTCCTTAAAGTACAAAATATATTTTCTTTCCCTCTCTGGCAATCATGAAAAATAAACCTGGACAAGGAAACCAGAAGAGTGTGCACAAAGCTATGCATCACAGTGTCCATAGTGAATGTTCACTTATGAGAAAGCGATTACAGTTCTTACTATGGCTATGTAGCCCCAGGAGAAGGGGAAATTGTCCATACATTTAAATTGAATTTGAAAATAAAACTAATATTTTAGAATTATAAAATATCTTTTGTGATTTAACGCGTAAGTATCAGATTAGCTTTACAACTTTGGGTAATTTGCCTGATCTTCACTTTAATAGGTAAATGAAAGTACTTTTATTATGAAAAAGAAGTATGTGCATTATTGGAAGGTAGATCACAGATAATGTGCTTGGAGAATTCGGTCAGCACATTTTGGCTTATGAGAACAAGTTTATAGTCTGCACAGAACCTGGAACAGACATGGCTGCGTAGTTTTGAAGGAGAGTCCTGGTTTAGCAATTAGATAACTACATTCTTTTCCTGGTCTGTCACGGACTCTTATGAGCATATTTTCTTATCCACAGACAAAGAAGTTCAGGGTAGTTACTTCTTATATTCCTATCAGCTCTGAAATTGCATGCTTATATTAAAGTTAAAATAATAAATTCTTCCTTTAGGAAAAATGGATAATATAATATTTAAGAAGATTTTTAACTCAATATTGCATTTCTATTAAGTTCATGATTTTCTCTTAAAAAGCATAGAGATCATCTTGCCTTACCACAGAACTGAACTTCTACAAATTAGCTACCAAAAATAAAAAAGAAACATACACACAAAGACATACACACTAACCAAGAGATCTGGCCTTATTGTTTAATGGTGGCTGAAACAGAATTTTTTTAAGGGTTTAAAATGAATGTGTATCATGCTCTTTCATAAAACATTACAAATTAAAATATAGATATATATGAATTTTATGAAGCTGTTTGAAATGTTCACCTACTTAAAGTCTATAGAGTATTTTAGCACTAATACCTAACAAAAAAGCACAAGAAATGTGAAAATGAGAGGAATTAGTTAAAAGAAAAATCAGTAAAATTTATTACAGGTAATGATGCTCCTCAAAGATTTTTTCTGTTAATAATGAAAAGATATAATGCTTACCTGATTATCCATCTGATTTTTTTTTTTTGGTTGGGTACTCAAGATTAGTCCTATGCAGTAGTCTAAAGTCAAGTATGTTCTAGAGTTTGGTTGAATTGATTTGCTAGCCATCAATTGAAGAATGTAGTAGCCTATACAAATCAGTACTTTACAAATTTTGGCATTACAATTTTTGATTTTCAACCTAAGAACAGGACGATTAAGTAAAGAACTCTGATAACCTGGCTCCCATGATTTGACCCCAAGGGAGTGTTTTCCCTGTTTAAAAAAAAAAAAAAAAAACCACAGGGTCAGGCAGATTATGAGCTCTGATATACTTGAGAAAAAGACATAGTCTGCCTGGTGACTGCCAGGGTCAAAAACAAAAACACAGAGCACAGCTTGGGGAGGGCTGGAAAGGGGCCAGATGGGAGGGTGAGAGATGTGCTTGGGTCCAGTTGAGCTGAATGTTCTGGTCAGGGAAAGGTCAGAGTCTGGGCAAGGGCAGGAACAGCAGGCCCATGCCAACTCAGATGCCAGACATCAGGGCCATTCCAACTGGTGGATTCCATTTGTTTTTAATTATCAGCATACCGAAGGGACTTTTGTTTCTTGTAAATAAGGATGACAAACAAATTAAACTCTAGCAGGTGCAAGAAGCTTATTCTGTCCTGAGCTAAAAACTGTCCTGGCTAAGATATAACTTGCCAAATAGGGCTGGTGACAAGGAGGTACTCTTCTTCCATATGAAAACTCCTGGTTGTGGGCTCTAAGCAGAGACGCTCAAGCGAATGCAGCTGCTCTATAGGTGATTTTTATTTTAGAGTGATTACCAAGGCAGTTGCTGATTGTTGCATTGCTGTGTTGAAAGTCATTTCAAAACTTGGTATTTGAGCACAGTCTTGCCAAAGTTTGAAGTTTCTGTCCAAGGAGCTTCAGTGGCTGTCTGCCATTATGAACAGCTCCCTAGGGCCCAAGGGTCCAGCTGCTTCACTAAGAAGTGTTGTGATGCCATTTCTGAGGGGGATAATAAAATGCTAGCATACAGTACAGGGTCTGTAAATCAACACTTCAACTGGGAGGAACTGGATTTCTCCCTAGGGTAACAGGAATGAGGCATTAATATGCTAATTTCAGTCCGAATTCAGTCCCTTTGCTCTTTTGATTTTGTGTTAATTCTCCCATTTATGCCTTTGCACACGTCAATCTGAAAATCCTTTAGTGGAATGGACAACCAGCTGTCCAAGGTGGGTGAGTCCTCATTCCTTACAGAGACAGAGACACAGATTAGGTGTTCCCCTGTGGGTCTTTCCAATCAGGGCTCTGAAAGCACAGCTTATCTCACACAAACTTGGTTCCCCCTCAGAGAAACTTTAAAAGACGCTTTGTTTTTGCCAAGATTTTCTCTTGGTTTTCTGCTTAATTAATAGGGATTCAAAGGAACCAAAATAAACCATTTGTGGTCAGTATGAATAGTGATTTCCTTGCCTTATTTTGTGAGCTATTTATATTGAACTGAGTAGCGAATAAACAACTAAAAGAACCATTAAATGTGGAAAAAAATAATATCTCAATGTTTTAAGGTGAGTTTTTTTCTCCTTTTTCTCATTAGGTTTTGATTATTTGAGAAATTTCAATAAATTGTCAAAAGTTTCACATAATTGGAAGCAAGCAGTGTCTATTATAGCTCTACCACATCATCATCCATAAATAGAATTTAACTAGACGATAAAACTAGCTCTTAACATATTTTAGAATTTCACTTATTCAAAAATATTACAGAGTCCACTATGTGACTGAGACCTTGTGATGACTTGGAAATGTAAAAAAATAAAATAAATATGATGTAGCCCCTAAGGATTTCATTTACTGAGTAGAGATATTAACAATATCAATATTATTATTGAATTGCTGAAATATAATTATGTACATGGTGCAATTGGTGAATGGAATAAATAGAGATCAAAGAAAATGTTACAGAGAAGGAGGCATTTGAACCAAGAGGAAAGAGTGCATGGAATAGGGAAAGGAAAACGAATGAATGTGGGTGTGGTAATTCTAGGTGGAAGACACATACAGGCAGAGACATAAAGGCATCATGAGGGCATGTGGTGTGCTTGTGGAGCTACTAGCATTTAGTTATAATGAGAATATAAAGTTCAAGGAGAAATTCTTTGTAGATGACATTGGGTTGGTAAACATGGGGTTGGTAAGAAAATGTCAGATCACTAGAGCAGTAAAATATTTTTATTTTGATATAGCACCCACTATGTGACAGATACCATACTAAGCAGTGAGGAGGCACTAATATTTGTAACAGAGGAGTCAATGATATCGAATTTTCATGTTAGAAAGGTTAATATGAGACATAAAAATATAAAATCTAAAGGTTCAAAAGAGAAGTCAGGGTATTATAATATTATGATAGGTATAATAATATGCCCAAAAGAGACATCCTGCTTCAACTTCTGAACTGGAAATTGGTCTCTTCCCCTTTTCCCTCCTAATCTCTTACTAGGCTAATTTCTTCTCATTTCTCATACTCTTAAATGTCATTTCTGCCAAGGGCTCTTCCCCTAACAAACAGATTAGATTAGGTCATTTCATACATCAACATTCCACCTTACATATTTTCTTCATAGCAGTTCGACTCCCTGCAGTTACCCACCTTTGTAATTATTTGCTTAGCATCCACTAGTCATTAGCTTATTGACATCATGGCGACAGGAATGAACTCTATCTTGTTGAGGAGAGTCTTTAGCACATAGCAAGTGTTCTTTCTATATTCTTGTATAAATAAATGATAGTTAGGGAAAATAATATTGGATAAAAGAAAATGAGGAAGAGGAATATCAAAAAGACATGATTGAAAGAGCGTGGTGAATGAATGAAAAGGAAAAATATAAGAGAAAGACAAATTGGGATGAGTCTCATGTTTCTAGCATGGATAATGAATAAGAATTATGACTAAGGTATGGGGTAAGATTATGACTTAAATTTTAGTCCTGTTGTAATAATTGATGAGATCACTGCTCATATTAAATTAAATTTTATTTTTGTTGGAAAGATTTGGTATTTTATAGTCTTATTCCAGTATATTTTTTAAAACATTTAGTGTAGAATGTTTCTGTAGACGATTAACACATACTGTTTAAGTTGATAGTTCTTTGCTTCAAGATCAGAAAATTATGTCTCTATATTTTCATCCTCATATTTCAAGCATTCATCCAATATCAAAGCCGGGCTCCTTTGGCATATGGCATAATAATTTTTTAAAATTTTCCAATTATTTCAATTAAAGATTTGGAAAAGCTGACGGGGGTATTCTTATCTTTGCAATCAGACTTGGTTTGGGTACTAGTTTGTGCTTGGATATGAAATAAAATAGAAATAGGAAATAAATCTGTAATTATCTTGAAGTTTAAACCTCTAACTACATAAAATCTGAATCCAGTTAAAGAAAGATTTCTAAAAACAGAAGATAAATTTTGACATCAAAGACTGCCGTGCAAACATCTCCTCATTTATTCCTGTTATTTAAATGAAAACTATTTATCTGTTTCTTTTCAGTTACACACAAAGAAAAAGAAAAAGGAAAAGAAAAAGTAAGAGAAAAAGAAAAACCTGAAAAGAAAGGTATGAAGTTACTTTTATTACTGTTTAACACACTGAGTCCTTTCCCATTGACTTCCTACTCTTTACATTCAGATTTTAGATGACCACGCAGTTTTACAAATTAGATTAGGATTATTTTCTCAGAATAGAATCTGAAAAAAGGAATTTCTGGATTGAGAGAAATAAAATACTTCAGACTGTTAAGAACTGTTGAACTGGAAAGTGGTAACTTTCCAGAAATGTTGCGTCAGTTTTTCCTCTGGCAGTTTTGAGACTGCCTTAGCCAGCAGTGAGGATATTATATCAGAAATACTTGTCAGTTTGATAGGTAAGAAAGTAGATCTCATTATTATAACTTGCATATTTTGATTATCTATTAGATTGCTTTAATTTCTAATTGTTATTTATTTATGTAGAATAGATAATAAGTTCTAATTGCTCAACACATAAAGATACTTTGTGAAAACCTTCCTCTCACCTTGCTCCCAGCCTACTGGCTCCCATTTCATGCCAAACCCACATACAGTAGACCACTCATGTGAATTTTACATGCATCCTTCCAGAGCTTTATTGTATGTTTTCCAGATAATCCATGTTATTTTCCTCCCTATTTTTACACAAAATCTAGTATGTCCTATAATCTGACTTTTACAATTTAACAATATATCCTGAAATCTTCTCATATCACTAAATATTGTCCTCATTCTCTTTAAAAAGCTGCATAGTGTTTAAATGAGAATGTTCTTCCACTGTATTTTTTCCTGATAATCTAGTTAATTGTTAAAGTTAATTTAATTTTTATTTTATTCATTAAGTTCTTCATTTCTAGGATTTCTGTTTGGGTCTTTCTTATGATATCTATCTCTTTACTGAATTTCACATTCAGATCATGAATTATTTTTCTCCTTCCTTTGTATTTTTTATTTGTGTTCTCTTTTTTTCTCTCTGAGTTTCCTTAAGATTATTATTTTGAAAGGCATTTCATAGATTTCCCTTTTTTGGAGGCCTGTTACTGGCGTGTTATTGTGTTCCTTTGAAGGTGTCATGTTTTCTTAGTTTTTCTTTCTTTTTTTTAAATTTTACTTTAAGTTCTGGGATACATGTCCAGGTTTGTTACATAGGTATACATGTGCCATGGTGGTTTGCTGCACCTATCAACCTGTCATCTAGGTTTTAAGCCTTGCGTGCATTAGGTATTTGTCCTAATGCTCTCCCTCCCCTTGCCCCCAAACCCCTGACAAGCCCCAGTGTGTGATGTTACCCCCGAGTCCATGTGTTCTCATTGTTCACTCCCACTTATGAGTGAGAACATGCAGTGTTTGGTTTTCTGTTCCTGTGTTAGTTTGCTGAGAATGATGGCTTCCAGCTTCATCCATGTCTCTGCAAAGTATTTTTAACTGCTTACTATTTATAAGTTGAAAGATTCAAATATGGTTTTTAGCAATGTATATATCATGTGTAACTGTTCACACTCACTGCCCATTTCTCCTAATGATATGTGTGTGTGTGTGTGTGTGTGTGTGTGTGTGTTTTGGGTATGTATACCCTTCATCTATAACTTATTTTCAAATATTTTTCTGAATTTGTTTCACAGTTAATATTATGCTTTCTGTCTTTGTGAACGGACATGTGTGAGTTCATGTATGTATGTATGCATGTGTGCATATGTTTAGATTCTTGAATTTTTAGGTGGTTAGATATGCTGACATTTTCTTGTGGTCTTTCTGGCTTTGAATCTTCATTCAAGAATTAATTCAATAGCCACCAATATTTTCCTCAAGTTTAAAAAAGATTGTTTTTTTGTTTTGAGACAGAGTCTCACTCTGCCACCCAGACTGAAGTGCAGTGGTGCAATCTTGGCTCACTGCAACCTCTGCCTCTGGGGTTCAAGAGATTCTCATGCCTCAGCATGAGAACTACAGACATGTGCCACCACACCCAGCTAATTTTTGTGTTTTTAGTAGAGATGGGTTTTTGCCATGTTGGCCAGGCTGGTCTCATACTCCTGAACTCAAGTGATCTGCTCACCTCAGCCTCCCAAAGTGCTGGGATTACAGGTGTGAGCCACAGCACCCATCCAAAAAAGATTGTTTCACATTTTAAATTTAACTTTAATTCCTCAAAAATCCATCTCAGTGTATGATACGAAGTAAGATTCTAACTTAATTTTTGCCATTGTTTTAGGGTGGATTGTGTCTAGGATAGCTGGGCCAGATTTCAGCTGATTTATGCATCCAGAGTATGCATAGTCTGCTGAAGTTTTTTGTTTTGTTAAACACTCCAGTTAGGTAGAACACATTATGACATTTAGGAATCAGATAAGTTGAAATATGCTTCAATATTTTTTATGGTATATTTACACTTGAAAATACCAAAATCTCACCAATCACCACTAAAAAGCTTACTCATGTAACCAAATACCACCTGGACCCCAATAACCTACAGAAAAAAAAGAAAATTTCAGTTAAATAATTGTTATTTTCTTCATGTTTATTTTCTTATTTTCTTATCTTATTTTCTTCATGTTCAATTTCCATGAACTTCAATATAGCCATCTCCTTTCTCTGTTCTAGAAATAGGTAACCATTTCTTGTCTGATATTGGGTTAAGCAGAATTATTAGCACTAGGCTCTGTGTATTCTGACTCAATGAAATAATCTGCTATTTCTTGTGATTTTTTTTCCAAACTTTACAGTAGCTAAATGTTTTCTGTTAAAAAAAAAGTTAGGAATTTTTGCCCTTAAATTATAAGTGCTGCAGAAAAAAATGTATTCAAATTGAAAAGCAGAAATAAAATGCTGCATTGTAAGTGCTCTTTTATTTACCTTATGCCAATTAAAGGATGTTTGCTTTTTAGGAGATATGTTATTATAATGTAGTCCTGTGACCTTGTTTGAATAGTGCCTTGCTTAGCCTAGCATAATGCTCCTTTTGTTAACATTGTCTAATCTATTACCCATAATCCCAAGTGGTAGTGGAGGTACCTGTGGGCAGGCCTGAGTGGTGGAGAGGCTGAAACTCTGGAGGAGGAGGCACCTGGTCTCTCAGCAGCTCTGCATGTGTTAGGGACACTTGCTCTTCAACTGAATATTAGGCTTTCTGAGGCTTAAATCATCTCTCCAAGATTCTGGAGGACACTGTTTATCAACTGTATTTAAAAATAATGGATTTTTAAATACATATTTTAAGCATTTCTTAATGATGTAAGTAAAGCTGATGTACATTATTACTATTCTTGTTGGAAGTAGGAGAAATGGAAATATGTGGAACTAATTTTTTCCTCTAACAAATCAGTGCATACACTTTGTTAACTGCCCAATTAAATCTCATATTTTACTACTTAATTTTCGTAGTTTAATTACCATTGTTATTCTTGAAAAAATAGTATGTAAATATTGAAAAATGTATGATGATTTGGGAAACTACCAAACAACACAATTTAATATAATTCAAATTTAAAAATACACATAATGACATATTTTTTGACAAATTCTTATAGAAAATTTTCCCTTTCAGTTTGTCTTCCCTGAAAGCTTTACCTGTTTGAAATAATGACTTGAGAAAGAGTAGATCTGATTTTCAACAAGCTTGCTAAGTCTTAATGCCTAGACTTTAACATTGAATTCAATACAACTGTTATTACACTGGTAACTCTTTATTTCTGAATTAGACTTATTAATGTCATACATTTTCAAAATATTACAGATTAGGTTTTAGCACTTATGAAACTGAGGTCAAAAGAAAGCTTGGTTTTGAAATCTATTAAAAATGTGTACTAATGTAAAATTTTCTGTTTAAGCAACTCACAAGGAAAAAATTGAGAAAAAAGAAAAACCAGAAACAAAGACACTGGCGAAAGGTAACTTTTCAATTTATTATTTCCATAACTAAATTCTTTTTACTCTGAAAGATTAATTTTTGGGTAACAGATAGTTGGATATTTGTAAACTTTTATCATTTATATTAAAAAGTTAATTTGGTCTTACCTTTAAAATTTAATATCTAAAAGAATAATTAAACTGAACACTTAATAGAGAATCTCATAATGTGAGAGGAAAATGAAGAGCTCCATCATATGTGGTAGACAGAATTTTGAGCCCCATAACCCTCATTCACCCCTTGGTGTCATCCCTATGGCTATGTTATATTACATGGCAAAAAAAAAAAAAAAATTGCAGAGGCAGTGAAGATTGTTCTAAAATAGGGAGGTTATCCTGGATTATCCAGGTGGGCTCAATGTAATATCATGAGTCTTTAAATGTAGACAGATTCAGCAGAGAACAAAGAGATTTGAAGTATGAGTACTTTTGCCCATTGGCTGTCTTGAAAACGTGAGAAGAATATGAATTCTGCCTCCAAGTTCAATAAGCATTAAAGCCAATTCTTTCCTCTAGCCTCTAGTAAAACACAAAGCCTAGGTGACAACTTGATTTCAGCCTCGTGGGCCCTAAGCAGAGAATTCAGTAGAGCCATGCTGAGCCAACACTTTGGAATCATAAAAACTGGAAGATAATAAATGGGTGTTATTTTAAGTGGCTAAGTTTGTTTTAATTTGTTACCACAGCAATAAAAAAACTAAAATAACATATTTGGTTCACAATTTTTGACCAGTATTATACCTTGAATTTGATTTTAAAATCTCAAATTCAGAATTTTCTTTTTAAAAAATTATTTATTTTCAATATTTATAGGTACATAGTTGTTGTACATATTTATGGGGTACATGTGATGTTTTGATACAAGCATATAATATATAATGATCAAATCAGGGTAATTGGGATGTCCATCACCTCAAACATTTATTATTTCTTTGCATTGGGAACATTCCAAATTCACTCTCTAGTTATTTTAAAATATACAATAAATTATTGTTAACTATAGTCATTCTATTTTGCTACTGAGCACCAATAACATATATTGAGGAAAGGACAGTCTCTTCAATAAATTTTACTAGGAAAACTGTATATGTAGAAGAATGAAACTAGACCTCTATCTCTCACCATATACAAAAATCAAATCAAACTGAATTAAAGACTTAAACGTAAGACCTGAAACTATGAAACTACTTGAAGAAAACATTGGGGAAACACTTTAGGACATTGGTATGGACAAAGATTTCTTGAGTAAGACCTCAAAAGCATAGGTAACCAAAGCAAAAATAGACAAATAGACAACTTCTGCACCATAAATGATTTTCTTGCATCAAAAAGAAATAATTGGCTGGGCACAGTGGCTCACCTCTGTAATACCAGCACTCTGGGAGGCCGAGGCCGGTGAATCACTTGAGGTCAGGAATTCAAAACCAGCCTGGACAACATGGTGAAATCCTGTCTCTAGTAAAAATTAAAAAATTAGCCAGGTGTGGTGGCACACACTTGTAATCCCAGCTACTCAGAAGGCTGAGACAGGAGAATACCTTGAAACCTGGACGCAGAGGTTGCAGTGAGCTGAGATTGCGCCACTGCACTCCGGCCTGGGCAACAGAGTGAGACTGTCTAAATAAAAAAAAAAAAAAAAAAGTGGTCATGCATAAATCTTGATCAATATTTTTACTTTAAAAGTTTGAGAACTGAAAGTACCATAATAATATGCCAAATATATTTATTAGTATATCACTTTAATATTAGATATTTTGGCATATTGAATAACAAAGTTTTTCTGTATTAAATTTATCTGCCAATTACTAGAAAAAATGGATTTTATTTGGTAATTTAATCTTATTCCCTACATTTAAATTTCTTCCTTATCTTTTAAAATATACATTTTAGGCAATTAGCTAGAAGCCTCAATTCAGTATTTTTAAGAAACTACCCATTTAGGTAAAACTCAGAAGCATTTTTAAGATTTAGTTTAGCTACTAAATGTAAAATAATGAGATATTTGAAGCAGATATATTTTCAATAAATCTTCCGTTAGATAACCAAATATCATTTTATTAAAGTTAATATGGATGAATTGTAAACTGAAACATTTTTAGAAGATAACATGAATTTACTTTCAAGATTAAATTAAAATAAATAAATGTAATTTTATTTTGTTTCTCCTGTTTCATAAATGCAAGTGAAAATAAATTTTGTATATATATAAAATTTGTTTTCATTACATATACATGAAATCATATGTGATAGATGTATGAAATCTAGTGGACATTTTAAAGATCATCTAAATTAATTACCTCGTTTAACAGATGAAGAAAGTGACCTCTAGAGAGAGAGAAAAACATTTTTGCCAGGTCATAAAACTGGTATATGATTTGGTTAAGACTAAAAACCCAGGTGCAGTCAGTATACATTGAGTATTCTTCACAAAAATAATTAAATACAGGTCTTCAAGCATCTTTTTTTTTTCAAAAAATTTGTTGAATACTGCATTAGTTACTTATTGCTTTGTAAAGCATTACCACAAAATCTGAGGCTTAAATCAATGCACATTTATTATCTCACAGTTTCTGTGGATCAAGAATCTGGGCATGGCTTAGCTCAGGCCTCTGTTTCACAATCTTACAAGGTGGCAAACAAAGTGTTAACTAGGACTTCAGTCTCATCTTTAGTTTCAACTGAGGAAGCACCATTTGCAAGTTCACTATATGGTTGTTGGTGAGATTCAGTTCCTCAAGGACTACTAGCCAATCAGTTCCTGGCTGGCTGTTGGCTATGGACCATCTTCAGTTCCTTGACACATGAGTCTCATCAACATGACAGCTGGCTTCATTAAACCTATTGAGAGAGAAACAGGAAGACAGAAATTACAATCTTATCTAGACTAATCATGGAAGTCATATTCAATCACCTTTAGTATACACTATGGGTTAGCTGCAAATTCCTAGGGCAACCCATATTGAAGGGAAGATGATTGCACAAGGATATGAATGCCACAAGTTGGGAGTCACTGGGAGCCATCTTGAGTCTGCTTGCCATAAATACTTTCCATTTAAATATTTACGTCATTCTTCTGGGGGAGGTGCACACACACACATACACATACACACACAAACATACATATATATGTGTGTATATATATGTATGCATAAGTATATATGTGCCTGTTTAAAACATATATATGTGTGTATATATGTATGCATATGTATATATGTGTCTGTTTAAAACATATATATGTATGTGTATATGTGTATACATGTTTGTATACAGTATATGCTTTTTATTTTTATTTTATATGTGTATGTATTATGTTATTATAAGAAATTAATAGAAAGTGTTCTTTATGTAATAGGTGGTTTCTGGTAAAACAAAATAAGATAAAAAGTCATAAGCCTTCTATGTGACATTAAAGATAGAAAATATCATAAAGTATCTTTGAAAGGTGTGACCAGTTAAAGTAGAATCTCCCTTTGAAGAGCTGTGATTTCTGGAGGCACTTGCATAGAACACAGCATGTTTCTTGCTCTGTTGCATACTGCTTGCTGAAAGGCAGCCATTGGTTAGAACACTTCAGGGATTCCTCCTGGGGAAGAGTAGACCTTTAATGTCTACCTTGATACATATGTAGGACCCCATATCCACTGAGAAATCTAGCCTATTTCTGTAGTTCATTAAAAACAACAGAGACAAGGTAGAAGAAAAAGAAGAAAACAATGATGAAAAGAGAAGTTGAGTGAGGTGAGCCAAGTTTGGGCCAGGCTGTCTAATTGATGTGGATGTCAGTGTGACCTTCAGATGTCTGTGTGTTTGATGATGTGGCAGAGGTTATTGCTGCCTTGGTCACTTTCAGGAAGACATTTTATCGCTTTCACATGGTTCATGTATATTTATATCTGCCCTTATATGTCTTAAAATACAGTTTTTGTATCATCTTTTTAGGTTAATATTAATACGTGTGCAATTCACTGTGATTAGAAATTGGGTTAGTCATTCTGATTCTACTCTTTCTACTCCTAACTCATTTAGTTGCACCATCTTTGATAAATGGCTTTTTGATACTTAGATTTTTCAAATGTAAAATAATAATGAAATAGTAATTCCTGCTGTACATTAAACTGTGGATAAGTTCTAGGGAAACTCCAAGAGCTCTAGACATGCAGATTATGCAGATATAATATTAGAAATGTTTACATACTTATTTTGCAGAATTCAAAGTTATTTTGCTCAGTGTTACTCATCTCCACAGCTTCCATAGAGGAAGAGGCAGTTACAGTGGCGATTCTTTTTTTTTAACGCAAAGAAACTGAAGCAGAGAAAAAAGTTAAGCAGTTTGCAGTTCTTTATGGAATGAGAGAGAAAATTTGTTATTTTCTAACTCCCAACATGTGTAGTATGTTTCTTGAGGGATACTATTCTATTTAATACTTTGGCATCAGACATTCTGAATCTGATGCAGTAGCTAATGGATCACGCTAATTCCAAGATTGAATCAAATATGCTGATGTCATTTTTTTTGATTAGGCCATTTTGTTTTCCATTTGACAAAAGTCATGAATAAAATGCCTTCCTAAATAAAACTGGGTGATTTGAATACCCATGGCAATACTTTTTGTTTTTTTCATTCCTTAATAAATTTCGTCACTTAAATTATTTTAGGGAAAAATCAGGAAAAATATTTTGGCACAAAATTGAAGAATGTGTACTCAAAAGTAAATAGAAGTTGGGTGTTGCTTTAGTTTCATGATATTTTCTTTATTATAGCCACATCATTGTTTAGTTGTCACTCATTTTTTTCTACTATGAGGCAAAGTTATCTATTTCCAGAGTGAATGTGATTGAAGAGTGTCTAAAATAGTAGAAAATATTTTATTATTTTTATACTTAAAGTCAATGATTATAATGAGTTGGCTATATATGTGGTTCTACCTCTTAGAAAATAATCATTGCCCACTTATAAATTATAATGGCATTAAAAAGAAATCTGAATTTCACACATCTATAGTTCCATACTATAAAGTTAAGGTTAAATCAACTGTAACTTACAAGGAGTAGATAGCTGTCATTTAGAGTAAGCAAATATAACAATTTCATACAAATTAGTATAAACAAAAAAAAAAGTTGGCAAGTTTAACAGGTTTAGACAAGTTTATTTCTAAACACATATTTACATAATGCAGTCTCTATATCACTATATTATACATATGATCTGAGTATAGTGGAATATTTACTCTCTCCATCAAAATTGCTAATCCAGTATACATTTATCCTCTGTTTTCTCTGAAAGAAGCATTGTGCTAGACACTATGGTGATACAAAAATAATAATAGAATTCCTGCCCCTAAGCACTGTCTGTCTGGTAGGGAAGACAGATAGATCAAACTATCTATATTTCAAGATATATAATAAAGAATAAAATGTATAATTTAATAAAAATTCAGAAAAATGGAAGCTCATGGGAAGACATTATTAATTCAAATGGGAGAGCCATTTTTTTGCATGTGAATTGACCATGAAGAAATTTAATCCCAGCACTTTGGGAGGCCGAGGCGGGTGGATCGCCTGAGGTCAGGAGTTCAAGACCAGCCTGGCCAACATGGTGAAACCCCATCTCTACTAAAAATACAAAAATTAGCTGATGTTGGTGGTGCACACCTGAAATCCCAGCTACTCGGGAGGCTGATGCAGGAGAATTGCTTGAACCCGGGAGGCAGAGGTTGCAGTGAGCCAAGATTGCACCATTGCACTCCAGCCTGGCAACAGAGCCAAGAGTCTATCTAAACAAAAAAACAAAAAGACAAAAATAAATAAAAAAGAAATAAAGAAATTTAAATATGTGGAAAAATATAGAAAATATAGAGAATGCAGTCTGACAACAGTTGACACATGGAAAAATACATAAAATATTCAAAAGAAAGAAAGCAGTCCAGTAGAGGAATAAATTTTTGGAAAAGTGCTGTAACATGGGAGATAGGAGGAAGCCAGATATTGCACGGTTTTAATTTTGCTGTGCTAAAATTTATTCAGGTAGTTTTATTATTATGCTGATTTTTAGAGCTCCAGCAACTAGCTGTGAGCCCAGGTCAACATAGACTCTCTAGAAGTGTTTTTTAGGTGAATGAGTTGCATGAGATTGAGGTGCTGTTGACCACTCCAGTGAAACTTTCTTTCCAGACAGACACTAATAAACATTCCAGTGTGGAATTCTGGAATGATTTCAATTTAAAGTCATCCGCAGAAAGCTGCTGGTTTCAGTCACAGAAACATATGAGTTTACTGCAGGAAAGAGCAGAAACCAGCAAAGGAGGTTTAGAAATGATTTATAGGAAGAAGAAAATCCCCTGAGTGTAGTTACAGAAGCCACAAAGATGTTGAAAGTTTATGGACATGTGAAACCCCATCTCTACTAACAATACAAAATTAACTGGGCTTGGTGATAGGCGCGTGTAATCCCAGCTACTTGGGAGGCTGAGGCAGGAGAATTCCTTGAAACTGAGAGGCAGAGGTTGCAGTGAGCCGAGATCGTGCCACTGCACTACAGCCTGGATGACAAAGCAAGACTTCATCTCAAAAAAAAAAAAAAGTTTATAGAGTAATTGAGTAATATTTGTATGAGAATTTTATGATTAAACAATATTGAATAATGTGTGTATCATAATTCCCCTTCTTAAAAATTCTCAATACACTTCAGCTTTGAGAAAGTCCAAGCTAAATGACCAGGTTAGCTTATTGTTGCCAAATGAATTTGGCCATGAGAATATTCTCCAATACCTAATACAGTATCAACATCTTCCTGTAAATATCTGAAGTATCTGAGAAACAGTGTTTTGGGAAGTGCTGGCGTAGTCAATTAAGTGCGATACCACAGATGATTTTTGGTTTGCAAGCTAACCAGCATCTGGCATTATCATTTTCATTCTCTCAATGGGACCTTCTGATATTATCTTGGCTTAGCCTGAAATCATCATTTAGGGTACCAAAGTCAAGAAACTTGATTACATTTTTTCATTAAATTCTTTTTTTTTTTTTTTTTTTTTTTTTTGAGACAGAGTTTTGCTCTTGTTGCCCAAGTTGTGGTGCAATGGCGCAATCTCGGCTCACTGCAACCTCCGCTTCCCTGGTTCAAATGATTCTCCTGCCTCAGCCTCCTGAGTAGCTGGGATTACAGGCATGCACCACCACGCCCAGCTAATTTTTGCATTTTTAGTAGAGATGGGGTTTCACCCTGTTAGCCAGGATGGTCTTGATCTGCTGACCTCATGACCCGCCCGCCTTGGTCTCCCAAAGTGCTGGGATTACAGGCATGAGCCGCCATGCCCGGCCTTCATCAAATTCTTTAACATGAGTGACAATAAAGGCTACACAGTGCATTAGCAAATGACATAGAGGATTCCAACATTGCAGTAGAGTTGCTGTGGTGTATAGTGGTTATGTGTAGTCACATACAAAAAGGAATGTCCAATATTCAGCATCTATTATGAACAATTTTCCACAAATTATGTGCTACATTATTACTGCTTTTTAAAAGATGCTTGAATGATCCACAGACTAGTTATTTGCATCACAGTTCCCTCTTCCAAAATACGGATAATATCAAATTAAGAATATATGTGTGTAATATATATATGTTCTAATTTATATATCTATTCATATATATTTTTATTTATAGCCCTTTGAATTTCCCATGATATGTTTAAGGGCTTTAAAAACTAGTAGAATTATCGCTGACTTAAGATAAACAGGAGCCAATATCTGAATTTCTTCACTTTCAGTTTTTCTAAGGCCAAATCATTAGACTATAGGTCTTTCAGTTATCTTCTAATGGATTTCATTGTTTTATTTCTGTTAGTCAACACCAATGCGATAATTTTACACTTGCATTACTAATTGTTGTCTTTAAAAAAGACTTTGTTGGCATTTCAGTTTCTTGAATGACCCTTAAGATCTTTCAGTTATCAAGCAAAATGATCATGTGCTTATAAAAGGAGACTACTTCACTGGGCTGTTTGGTATGGAAATTGTCTTTCACAGAAATTCCTGTACATCCATCCCCTGCATGCTACAAATGCCTCCTTGTTGACATGCTAAGTTACTATTGCCTTAAAAAATAGTGTTTTCATGTACAAATTAAAAGCCATAACACTTTTAGTAGTCTATCTAATATAGCACTTCATAAACTGTATAAAACTCTGGTAAGTCACAAGTGTTTATGTTAAGAACAGTATTTTTCATTGTTTTCCTGAAAAATACTGTTCTTAACATAAACACTTGTGACTTACCTTTCTTCCCTCTTTCTTTTCCAATTTTCCTTAATGACATAGTACAGATGAAACATTATGTTTGTAAATAAACAAAAGTATTTCAACATCTTTTAACTTTATACAGAACAGAAGAAAGCTAAGACTGCAGAAAAGAGTGAAGAAAAGACTAAAAAGGAAGTGAAAGGTGGAAAACAGGAGAAAGTGAAGCAAACAGCTGCAAAAGTAAAAGAAGTACAGAAAACACCATCAAAACCCAAAGAAAAGGAGGACAAAGAGAAAGCAGCTGTGTCAAAGCATGAACAGAAAGGTAAACATTCAGAGCAGGAGGCTGCCGGAGGTTCTAAGAGAATATTGGGCAAGAAGCACATGCAGTGAAATTAAAAGTTGAAAAAGACCAAAATCAGACTTCAAATGGGGGTAAAAGACATTAAAGTAAATATATCAGAAAAGAAATACAGTAAATTGGGAATTAATATTTATTTATAAAAATACTAAAATGTGTTCACAGATCTAAAGGGGCATTTTGAAGTATTTTTAAAAGGGGTTTGGAGGTAGCATCCGAAATCATATAAAGATTGGGGATAAATGTTGAATTTTTGAGATATGGAATGTCTATTAAGAGGTGGAATAAAGATTGTATGTGTCATACTCTTTGGAGGAAAGTGGTCCCCCAAAATGACAGCAATTCCTAAGGAGTTTGTGAAGGGGTACATGTTGGAATCATATAGAGTAAATATCATAAAAACTATCCATACATTACTGTTGCATTGGCAAGAGCACATCATTTAGAATATACATCCAATTATTAAATTTATTTAATAGGCAAGATGTTATAGAGAAGACAGTTCTCAAGTTTCTTTTTCAGTTTCCATTGACTAAATTTCTAACTTTAGAAAGCTCTGAATGTGACATATTTCGCCATTCTTCAGCAAGAGTGATGTCAAACTTACATCCCCACTTTGCAAAAATATATCACTTCAATGGAGGTGGCATATAAACCTGAATTTTTATTTTATGGAAGGTTGCTATGTGAATATACAGAGCTGAAGGTTTAGGAGGGCAACTAAGGGTCTTATCGTACCACATCTCTGGCCCTTATTGAATGTTTCTTTTCCTAAGTCCATTCCTGACTCCAGTTTGCTGTATAATCCTGAGACTCCTTTACAGAATACGGGGATCTAACATGTAGAGACTATTCCTGTAATTGGTGTTTCTTGGAGACATTGCAAAACCAAATTTTTCTTTACTTTGTAGCACTTTTGACTAATGTTATCTAAGGACTGTATCAAAGAATTGGTTTCTATTAGATTTTAGTTTAAGAAATCTTACAATTTTATTACAGAGCAGGCTATTTGGAGGATGAAACTGAAATTAATTTTTCCTCATAAGGCACAAGAAATGAAATTTGCAATGCACTCGTACTGTATTTTCATCTTTTTTCTCTTGAATTTGCATTTGTAAACTTTGATTCACATGTAGTATTTGTCAACTCTGATTTATATGACAAAAGATACATATTTTAAAAATATATATTTTAAAAAGGAAAGATTTTTTCTTTTTTTAGTGATCTACAAACCTTTAAATTTAGATAATTTTAATTTATTATTTTAAGATATAAGTCATATTAAAACTTAGGAGCTCTAAAACTTTTTCCAATTTTCAAGGTGATTATATCACCATGAAAAAAATTTAAAAGTTAATTATTACTTCCATCAAAATTATGTCATTAATGAAATATTTTGGTAGACAAAAAGGATGAAGTAAGTAAAGAGAAAATACGTTGAATATAATATTTTACTGTGGTAAAAAAACAGCAGAAATAATCTTTGGATTCACTGGTATGATTACTTAGATCCTGAAATCCTTTACACTTTAGATTGCTGTTCAAAAAGAAAAATAATCACATGAAATCAGTGAAAACCTACAAAGTACATTCTAATTTTTAACCATAAATACAGAGTGTAAAAATTGATGCCAGTTATATTTGGAAATGTCAAAATACTTATCTAACAACTAGGAATGTGAATGTATTTTTTGATGTTAATTTTTCATATCTTTGGGGATTTGGGAGCCACATTTTATTGATAAAAACTCATCACCGGAACACTTTAAAATAATGTTTATTTTCCAGGCCACAAATATTGTATTTCATTTCTATCAGTAATCAGATTTATTAAAGACAGCATTATATTACCATATCCCTTTTCAGTCTACTATTTTTATTTCTACACAAAGAGTTATTTATCTATTAAAAGGACATTCAAATATCATTTAGAGTTTAAAACAAAAGCACAAATGTGATTTTATCAGCTAAACAATTGCAATTGCTAAAGCAAGTCTCAGTATTGAGAACAATTGCCATCAATTATATAAATGTATCATTAGGTAAGTATTCAAAACTTAACCTCTAATGGCAGATCAGACATATAAATATGTCATTTTATTTTTCATTTTTTGTTACTAAGCAAAGATTTAATTAAGAGCATTTTTAAATTAAAGAAAACTAATTACATTATGATTTTAGCTAAGCAAGATAAAGATATAGTTTTTTTTAATTTCTGAGGCTTTGGTTTTGAAAATTTTATATGATGACTTAGTTGAGTTAGCTCAACTAAGCTAACTGTTGAGTTAGCTTTTTGGGCAAGAGAATACTCATTCACATAGTTAAGTTAGACCTAATATGTTTGAGGCATTCTTTTCATATAGATTTCTAAATACTTCTTTTTAAAGAAATAAGGCTCATAGGTCCTTTACTCACTTGGAAACAGATTTTCACATGGGACACATATTTATTAGTAATTATTTAATTACATAGTATACATATGAATATATTCAATGTAGTTACTCTCAATATTGTATATGGAAATAATACATCTCTTTTTCTGCTTAAAGCATTAGGGATAAGATGCATATGTATATACACACCTACCATAAACACACACACACACACAGACACACACACACACCCATCAAATAATCTAGTTTTTATGAACCCATCTAAATCTGTTTGTAGAGTAGGAAGAGTTGGCATAGTCAGACATTGCTCCCTAGTTTTCTGATGACCTCTAGGAGGTCTGTGGGGAAGGAGAAACGAATTTTCCAGCTGCCACACACTTTGCTCCTTCACTCATTCTTTCTTTTAAAACAACTATTTGATATTTGTGGCAGGCAGAGAAAGTATAGCTAATGTGAATCTGTTATAGAGTACTGGACCACATGTGCCCCATCCTCATTACAGGTTTCTTAAAAATTTTTTGTTGTTCTTGACATTCTGCACCCAGAATGTATTTTCCCTTTGTTACTATTCCACAGGGAACACCAACTAGGTATCATTTGAATGACATCTATCACTGCTTCCTGAGAATCAAGAAGGAGAGAAATGGACAGCATGTGTTATTCCAAGAAGGATGTTTATTTGGGGAAAAAGTACTTACAATGATGAGCAAATTAACATTATATAAATTATTATCTCAGAACTATGAAAGTTAGAATGGCAGGACAATTTAGATTTTCTTTGTGAAAAATTTTCTGCTATAATATTTAAGTTGGGTTTAAAGAAACATTTTTAGAACACAAATCTTTCAAAATCAGGAAGGCTTGGTTTTTCTGTATTCTTAGATAGGTTAAGCAGATAAACTGGAGACTTCCCAACACATACCTACCTAGAATTCTTATACGTTGTTAAGGTCATTGCCAAGGACAGGTGGAAATGGGCATCCTAACTTAAAATATTTGAAAATTCCTATCAGCTTTGATAGGAATAAAAACATCTTTCTCATATTCCTATTGATATATTGGTGCCATTAGAATACAAGATCACAGCACTATTTACATATAACAAAACCTTCTAAGTGTTGTAACAAATAATTTTCTAAGTTAAAAAACATCCTCTGAATTCATAAGAAATTTCCTTTTTGCAATTAGAAGTTCATTGGGCTGTTGGTGTATTAATTAAATGAATGATTTTTGGATCTAGGAAATATAAGAAATATAAGTAAGGTACAGTTGTCCCACAGTATCTGTGGGGGATAGGTTTCAGGATTCCCTGCAGGTACCAAAATCCACAGATGTTCAAGTCTTTTATATAAAAGGGACTAATATTTGCATATAACCTATACACATCCTCTTGTATACATTAAATCATCTCTAGATTACCAATACTACCTAATGTATTTAATAAATGCTTTGTAAATACTGGTTATACTGTATTGTTTAGTAAATAATGATAAGGAAAAAAAGTCTGTATATGTTCAGTACAGACCCAACCATGGTAGCTGTAACTATATATATATATATATATATATATTTTTTTTTTTTTTTTTGAGCCAGAATCTCACTATGTTGCCCAGGCTGGAGTGCAGTGGCACAATCTCAGCTCACTGCAACCTCTGCCTCCCGGGTTCAAGCAGTTCTCCTGCCTCAGCCTCCGGAGTAGCTGGGATTACAGGTGCCCTCCACCATGCCCAGCTAATTTTTGTAGTTTTAGTAGAGATGGGGTTTCACTATGCTGGCTAGGCTGGCCTTGAACTCCTGACCTCAAATGATCCTCCCGCCTCAGCCTCCGAAAGTTCTGGGATTACAGGCGTGTGGTTTGTTGAATGCTCCAATGTGGAACCCAGGGAAATGGAGGGCTGACTGTACTTTGATAATATTTCAACATACAAGCTGAAAAGTTTCATTACATTGTCAGCATTCAGCTAAAGAAGACTCTCTGAAGCGTGAAGATTTTAATTAATTCAGTACACTCTTCAACATGTTATGTATATAACTATCCCATCACAACATGGGGCAGATAATATTTCATTTGGAGGGGATGTTATATTAAAAATACTCCCTGCATTCTAAACTTCCAACATACATAAAAACAAACACTCTTATTTGCTGTCATGGGAGTCTATAGTGCCTCTAAGAGTAATTATTTTGGGAAAAAGGAATGAAAGGTTTTAGATCAGTGATTCTGTAAATGCAGTCTAATTAGATTCATCTAAGGAGTTTGTATAAAATGCATATTCCTAGGGTCCAGATCCATGGCATTTTAATTTTTTTTGGATGATGGAGCCCAAAAATCTGTATTTTGACAACTCCTCTCTCTTTCTCGTGTTTAAGTTGCCCTTTGAGAACTACTCCTAGAGTATAGGCAGAACAAATCTAAAAAGAGTACAGTCACTTAAGGTACTGAAATAAAGGGAACATACTGCCGATTTCAGAAAGTCCACACTGGTCTGACTTCAAACTTTTCATTTAAGGGAAATGTACTTTTTCATCTTGCTTTGTCTTAGAGTCAAATTGCCAGTTCTACAGTTTTGTTCAGGAAAACAATCTCATGTCTAGAAAAGAGAAAATACCTTCTACCTTAACCTTATGTCTTTCCCAATCATAGGGTTCCCAGGTCCTGGGATCAGAAACTCCAGCTATTACTGCCAGTACATCAAAGGGCAAATCAATGCATGGAATGACCTGAGGACTAGCCTCCTTCCCATTCCCTACCTCTCCTGTGGGAAAATGTGCTCCAATTTCAACAACTAAAATACATCTAAATTTTTGGAACTTTATGAGTTTTGGCCTGCCCTTATTTAGGTATTAATGAAAAAGATTATATTTTTATATCTTCTTCAATAACTATATTTATTTTTTAAAGACCTAACAGAATTTCATAATAAAATGGATTCCTCTAAAAATGCTGTTACTACTCTAAAAAGAACGAGATTTACAAAAATCCTTAGAGGTGTATCTGTTTAGTAACAAGCTTTGTTATTTCATATGTTTGATATGCATAATTTGGAGCAATTAAGAATGTAACATGTTGCTTAAATTCAATAAACTCTCTTGGTCCTAAAGCTGCCTTCGGATTTGGTGGATTAATAAAATGCATATTTCAGGAATATTGAAATGTAAATTATTTCATAATATGTATGCTTTAAAGCAGATACGGTAAAGATTCATCAATTGAGCTTTGAGTTGGATTGACCTCAGGAGAATCTAAAGTTCTGTGAGGATTTAAAGTTAAGTGCAATGTCTTTAATCTAGAGGGAATAGAAAAAAAACCAACTCCTGAAGACCAGGTCTGCCCAAAATGATGTTTACATACTATGTTTTTTTTGTTTGTTTGTTTACTTTCACCATAGGCCATAAACTAGTCAAGATCATAAGATGATCTTAAGAAGATTACTCATTTGATTAGTTTAACAACAATATCATTTGGTTCTGTTACTCTGTTCTTGATTTACTCTCCCAATTAAAGAGCATTTTTATTCAGAGGCCACCTAACAGGTTGCAAAGAGGTTAGTTCTCCTGATAGTCTTTTGGAAAAGACATTCTGCTGCTCCATAGAGACAATTAGCAGAAGGGCTGGAACTGAGTATTTGATAAAACACTCCAAGTTGGAAACAATTTCCTCTTGTGAAACTTCTGTTTCATTATTGAAAGTTTATAAAATGACAAATGGGAAAAATTGCTTTAATATGATGACTTTTGTAATCAATTATTTGACAAAATAGGTTTTTATTTTGAAAACAACCACTATAAGATTACCCTGAACTAGTCCTTTTCAATTTTTGAGGTTATTTTTGTATGGAAGAAATGAAGCATTATATTTGTCGTCTTTCTTTCCTTCTGTATTTTCATATAAGTGCAAATTATTTTTTTTACAGAAAATATTGTAGTAACCAAAATAGAATTGTGCTATTTTGTTTGCTTTGTTAAATTATTTCTCTGTAGAAAAATGAAGTGTTGATGACATTTTTTCATTGCTCTTTTTCTTTCTACTCTGTCAGATCAGTATGCATTCTGTCGATATATGATTGACATATTTGTCCATGGGGATTTAAAACCAGGTATTCCAAGCAATTCTTGTACTTGTCTGTTTTAATAGTCTTTGTTTCTAAGATTGTGGGCTTTTTATGTACCTAACTGTATTTTCATTTTTTAAAAATTGCATAATGCATGTGTAGATCTAGAATAAAACCAATAAAAAGCGGTAATAACTGGCATTAAGGTCTTAATTTTACTTTCAGTCACTGCATGGCCTATTGCAAATGAAGTCAGTTGAAATGTAAAATATGTGCTAATATCTCTCCATATAAG
Organism: Homo sapiens; assembly: GCF_000001405.40. Taxonomy (NCBI): domain Eukaryota; kingdom Metazoa; phylum Chordata; class Mammalia; order Primates; family Hominidae; genus Homo; species Homo sapiens. Next base: position 123,496,942 of record NC_000006.12, on the reverse strand, counting down.
GAATGCTAAAATCTTTAATAATGTCTTGAAGTGAAGCAGTGAATCATCTTATTTTATTCTTGGTAAACTTAGAAGAAAAGACCCACGACAATGAAAATATCTTTCTTTTCTTAGTAGTGAACACAATTCATATTAAAATCATCACATTTCAAATATTTATACTTTGTTTTCCAAAACTTTAAAATTTTCTCCCTTATACATGAACTTGGTTTAGCCACTCCAAAGAACTATTGATGGAGATAGATAATCTTGGAATTAATATTCAAAACAATGGGGAAGGATTTTGAGTTAAAGGAATATATCTACCTTGTCTTGTATCTTTAATTGTTGCCCAGAGTATAAAAAGGTATTTTTTACTAACATCTGAACTAAGCATGAGTAACTTGATTGCTTGTACTATGCCTTTTGCAGATTTAAAAACTGACAGAACTATGTTCATGTTTGGGAAAACTTTTCCAAGAAGACAGTATTGTTAAGGAAGGAGCTCATTTATATTAGAATAAATGAAGCTAATTGCTTAAAGACAGCTATATTTTTATTTTCTTAACTATTTTTGTGAAAGCCTTTCAAAAATATATAATTATAATTTATGTGTATGTCATCAAAGAGACATCTCATTTCTAAAACAAATAGGTAACACATCTAGGCTCTAGAAAACTAGACAATGAGAACCTTTGCACTCCGGAAAATGTTGTTGATCCCAGTAATTTATTCTAGTTAAATAATTTCCTCCTCCTCCCCTTTTCCTTCTTCTACATTTTCAGTAAGAAATTTAAATGAGGGGGAAAGTCACTAAATATATATTATAATTTATAAATATATATTATATATAATAATTATATATATTATATATTAATATATTATATTAATATTAATAATATTAATGATATATATTATTAATAATATATTAATAATATCGATGTTTGTGTATAGTATCATAGCATAATTGGAAATAAACCTTCAGGAAGGTAGTGTGATATGGTGGAAAGACAAGGCTTTGGACAGAAATACAGTGATAATTCTTAACTCCATCCTTTTCTAGTATTAGGTCTTGAGCAAATAATTGAACTCTACCTCATTTTTAGTGTTCTTACATTTAAAATAAAGATCACAGTCACAACCTTGCATTGTTGACAAATCATCTAGTGACTACAAACAAAATGTTATAACTTTAATTTGTTCATTTCACCACTGCCTGCCTGGTGAGTTCCCTACATGAAGAGAACCTCTCAACACTTACAAGTTTCAGTCTATATATATCAAAAATTCAATGTTAGGGCTGGGTGTGGTGGCTTATACCTGTCATCACAGCACTTTAGGAAGCTGAGGCAGGAGGATCACTTCAGCCCAGGAGTTTGAGACCAGCCTGGGCAACATATGGAGACCACATCTGTACAAATTTTTTATTTTTTTTATTTTTTTTGAGACAGAGCCTCACTCTCGTCACTCAGGCTGGAGTGCAATGGTGTGATCTCGGCTCACTGCAACCTCTGCCTCCTGGGTTCAAGCGATTCTCCTGCCTCAGCCTCCTGAGTAGCTGGGATTACAGGCCCCTGCCAACATACTCGGCTAATTTTTGTATTTTTAGTAGAGACGGGGTTTCACCATGTTAGCCAGGCTGGTCTCAAACTCCTGACCTTAGGTTATCTGCCCGACTCGGCCTCCCAAGGTGCTGGGATTACAGGCATGAGCCACTGCAACTGGCAAAAAAAATTATAAAAATTATCTGGGCATGGCGGTATGCACCCATTGTCCCAGCTACTTGGTAGGGTGAGGTGGGAGGACTGCTTGGGCCCAGGAGGTTGGGGCTGCAGGGGTGTGTGAGCTATGATGGCACTATCACATTCCATTCTGGGCTACAGGGTGAGACCCTGTCTCAAAATAAATAAATAATTTAAAAGTTCAATCTGGCCGGGCCAGGTGGGTCATGCCTATAATGCAAGCATTTTGGGAGGCTGAGGCGGGCGGATCACCTGAGGTCAGGAGTTTGAGACCAGCCTGGCCAACATGGTGAAACCCCGTCTCTACTAAAAATACAAAAATTAGCCAGGTTTGGTGGTGGGTGCCTGTAATCCCAGCCACTTGGGAGGCTGAGGCAGGAGAATTGCTTGAACCTGGGAGAGAGAATTTGCAGTGAGCCGAGATCTCGCCACTGTACTCCAGCCTGGGCCACAGAGCAAGACTCCATCTCAAAAAAACAAAAAGTTCAATTTTAGGTCAAAGGAGTGCTAACCATTTGTTCACCTGTGTTGGTTCAAGAAATTCATACTCTACACATAATTTTTGTAAAGTCAACTAGGTGTTTACTTACATATGAGATGAGACGAATCTATGTTGTTGATGAGCATGAATTAATAAATGACTAACATGCATTATTTTCTTCATATTCTATTAGTTTTAAAATTTCTTTACTTGAAGAAAATTATCTGTTTTCTGTCCCACTGAAATCATTCATAGTAGTTATTTGTTGATCATAAAATATAATTCCTAAGAAAGTCTCAAGACACAGAGAACCATGCACTAAGAAATTCAGCGAGGGATGCTAGTAGTTTAATAGTCGCAATACCAATCATTTCTTTCTGAAAAATCTAACAACAGAGTAAGGTTAGAAGGAATAATAAAATCATCTATGCATGAATTAAAGATGATTTTGTTAACGACCGCACAGAGAGAGCCCTTCTAAAGGCATATGCAAACATACTCTAAAAAGTCCTAAGTTCAGACCTACAACATTATAGAGTATTCCAACCCCTGAAGATAATTCCTAGTTCTATAGGATTAGATTTCTTTGTACCATTAATTGACTTACTAATTGAATTCTTAATTTATTTCATCTACCTACATTCATTATTTTGAAGGTTTAAGAAATGAAAGAAATACTTGAAAAGCGAGTATTTCTTGTCCAGGAGTTGAAAAGGAAGAAGGGAGAGAAGGAAAGCCTATGTAATATGCCTGTTGTTTCATTTAATAAACTATATGATGTTATGTAAATGTACCTAAACAAAATTCAGGAATATTATCTTTGTCAGTGTGGCAATACAAAACATGGAGTGAGAAAGCATTAAATATGACTTGCATTTTTGAAAATAAGGAATGAGAAACACAGATTTAATCTGGGCATATTAATTTAGAGACAATGTAAGTGGTGAGACATTGACTCTGACTGGCAATTATAGAATAAGACAATTCTTGCCAAGTTTATTGCTCTGCATGTATCCACTACTTATAAAACATTTGCGCTTCCATCTGTTTCTGTTTGGGATTAGTGTAACACCTGTATTGTTTAGCTAGAGTTCACTATTAATTATTGGTAATGAGTTTTTAAAACTATAATTTGATTTTTCCCTCTGGGATTCAGTTTTTCCTTTGTACTGTCACACCCTCAAAAGTAACCCAAATTGCAGTTCTAATTTGAAAACGCTTGCTGATGAAATGTGCTGACACTATGACATAAGTCCCAAGTTTTGCCTTTTATCCCATCAAATAAAATGCTTCTAAGATATTCTTAAAATTTTTAGCTAAGATTTCGTCTATAAACCTGAAGATTAATTGAATTGCTCTTTCTGATTTTCTGTTGTGAATGGTGAATATGCACTATCCTAGGGTCAGGGATAATCCTCACTTCAATTATAGGGACCATCTTAATAAACCAGTATAAATTATAAAGATCTGCTCATTTGGTTGTATTGAATCAAAATTCTCTTGTACTGACTTACTCTATATTAAGTTGAAACATGAAGAAAATTATATTTAAATCTAGGAAGTGAATGCATGCTATCAACACTGGTCCTATGGGCAACTGGCATAGACCTGTATGTACATTTTGTAATTTTAGGTATATTATGAACACCGAAGATCTCCCCTCTCCAGAGATACTTTCTCCATTTAATGAACTAACATCTTCATATTGAGATCTTTGGTTGTGCCGATGGTCAGCGTTATACAGGATGTGTTTTAATAACTCATAACCTGCCTTAGGGAAGACAGAGAGAGGAGAGTCGGGGAGAGATTGAGACAGAAAGAAAGAGATTGATTCGTCTTATGGTAGCTGTCTTGAAACTGATTAACCTCCACTTTTTTTCCTAGGGCTTAAAGTAGTCTACTTGTCACTTACTCATAAGAGAACTATTAAAACTGGTCAAGACAGACATTATTTGCAACATCAAAACACAATTTATGGGTTTTTTTCTTTTTCTTTTTTTGGAAATTGATAGTACGGATGGTCAAGGTATATTCCGCCAGATTTATTTATCTTTATCAACCTTCCAGTAATTCCAATTTCCTTTTCAATTTTGTGTGGCTTAGCACATTTTTCTTAAGTGACAGCTATACTGATAATTTTATTCATTTAGGTAGACTATTTTTAAGAAAACACATCAGGATCTTGCTTGGCATTTTCATATTCCTTCTTCACCAACTTCTATCTGGGCTTAATAAATTGCATGGGTTTCTGGGCAGAGTCACCCAAGTTAAAGAGACAAATTTCTGTAAGGAAGAAATCACATGGTTCACAGACCTCTTTATATTCACTAAAGATAAAGAAACCAATTTAAATGTCCACTACAAGTACCAGGGCTAGTGTGCTTGTGCTTAGTAATTTTAATAATTTTTTTTAGCTTTCATCTCTGTAACTATTATGATTAAAGTTTAATACAAGTTAAAGTTTATCCCTTAGAAGTTATTCCACTATTAAAATTTCAGCTACTGTCTGACTTTTACTTGAGCCAAGAATTATGTCACGGTAATTTATTCTGCTTTTTGTGTCATTTGTTTTCTTTAAATTGAGGGTACTCACCTATCAGAATCTTCTCTGATTGTAATAAGGCATTCTTTGGCAGCCTGCATTCCAATTCAATGGGTTTTAAGTCCATAGCTAGAAAGAGCCTCAAGGAATAAGTTAGTACTCTCATTTTATTAAGATCCTTTTCTTGAACTTTAGTGGTGCTTAACTATATTTTTGGTTAAATCTCGCTGAGAAGAGGTCAAATGTAATTGCATTATAGTCACTGTTATTTAATGGTTTAATGTATTTCAGAGCTCACTGCTTGTATTAGACAAGACTAGGTACCATTTAGCTTTGCTTTAGACTTCTGAAAAAAATCCTGCTCCAAGGTAGGCATAGTTCCATAAAAACATATTCACTCTAATTCCAATCATTTAATTATTTTCACACAACAAAAGTTTCGGGAATTTTAATGTTTATTCAGTAAGTAGTTGTTGAATCCTCTCAGCAAGCTGGTGGTCCAGAAAAGAGGTAAGCTAAGACATAAATAATTGTATTAAAAAGGATAACTTGATAAGTATACAATGAAGACATAGAAAATATACATTCTAATCTCAGTATACCAGGAATGAGTAATTTTCTCTATCAACCTCTTGGAGTTTTAATTATTAAAAAAAATTATTTAGTTTTTCTAATAGTTTACAGGAGTAGAAATAAAGGGAAAGTGAAAGTTTTGATAAGAATTTAAATATAGTAAAACAAAATGTTTCTATCTTATATTCCCTGTTTTCAAAGATGTATATACTTCAAATGGGAAATATCTTCAGAAAGAAACAAACAGCTCATCAGTTATCATCTATGAGCCTTCAGTGTATTCATCTTGCAGATACCAATTTCAAATTTTGAATATATCTTTAATAAGTTCTATTATATATTATCACTTCTGGTTTTTCTAGAATGTGCATCATCAAAATGTAGTACTTTAATTTTTATAAACCTTGATGGTCCATAATTTTGTTGAAAAGAAAATGTCATCTTCATTTCATAATAAAACATTTCCTTCCTTCCTTCCTTCCTTCCTTCCTTCTTTCGTTCCTTCTTTATTTTTTTTTTTTGAGATGTAGTCTCACTCTGTCGCCAGGCTGGAGTGCAGTGGTGCCATCTCGGCTCACTGCAACCTCTGCCTCCCGGGTTCAAGCAATTCTCCTGCCTCAGCCTTGCGAGTAGCTGGGACTACAGGTGCACGCCACCGTGCCCATCTAATTTTTTTTCTATTTTTAGTAGAGACGGGATTTCACCATGTTGGCCAGGATGGCCTTGATCTCTTGACCTCGTGATCCGCCCACCTCGGCCTCTCAAAGTGCTGGGATTACAGGCGTGAGCCACTGTGCCTGGGCAGGTTTTCATTTTTGTATTTACAAACATAGATTACAATAATGCATTCAATTATTTTTAAATTCACATTGTCCATTTCTTTTGGATGCCTGCCTTTCTCTTTCTTTAGCATTTGTGCAGTTAGAAACCACAGATTTTGGCACATGAATTTTATAAAGAAAGAGTACTGTGACATGCTCTTTTAGCAAAATGAAATGGTTCAGGTTCTTGTCACAAAATATAACAGGATAAATTCCTTCCTGTTAAAGGGCTAACTAGATGAGAATACAGTCGTGTCCTCTTATCCATGATTTTGCTATTTGCAGTTTCAGTAACCCACAGTCAACCACAGTCTGAAAATATCAAATGGAAAATTCCTGAAATAAACAACTCACAAGTTTTAAATTGGACACCATTCTGAGTAGCATGTCATGTTATCACGCTCTATTCCACCAAGTATGTGAATCATCCCTTTGTCCGATGTATCCACGCTCTCTAAGCTACCTGTCTGTGAGACACTTATTAGGTATCTCGGTTTTCAGATCAAGAAAACACAGCATACATAGAATTCAGCATTATTCATTGTTTCAGGTATCTACTGGATATCTTGGAATACATTTTTTATGGATAAGAGGGAACTACTATAGTATATTTCCTTTTTTCTCTTTGAAATGCATTGTTCACTCATTGATTCTATAGTTTAAGAAAATTCATTGTCTTATGAAGACTCATAGTCTGAGATTTCACTTGTATAATCAATTTCAATTTTACCCTAATCATTAGAGTCTAGCTTACTGCTCTCTGTCTTTCTGCATTCATCTTCTGATTCATTTAATAATTTTGAAATATCTTCCTCTGTCACTTTTCTTCTATTTGAAGTTATGGATGGAAAAAATAATTCTGAATTATAAACTGTGTTCAGTGAAACAAAGTAGGCTGTAAAAATGGTGTCTCAAAAAAAAAAAGATGTCTCCAGGCTTCTTTTATATCTTCTTGAATGATGATGTAATACTTCAGTCAACACTATAAACAATCATAGTGATGATGGGGCAATAATGATATATTTTACAGTTGCATCATCTTTCTAGGCAATTTCATTATTCTGCTTCTTCATTGTTTTAGTTTTAAGCATTGTTAGGAACGATTGATGAGTAATGATGAAACAGTTCCTATGTTGATGAAATAGAAAATGCTTAATATAAGAAAAAAAAGATCATGAAGTTTCCATAAAGTGCCTTACATGTTTAAAATTGTCCAATGCTGTCACATGGTAATTACAAGATATAATGGGTTTTGTTCTGTTTAAGAAATAGGTAAATTTCCTTTTGTTTCTTGGAAGACCTATAAGAAAACAAATAAGTCAAGAAATATTAATTTTTATAAACAGAACTGCTTAACAAAAGAAACTAAAAAAACTCTGATTGACTCCAGTGGACCCTGATAGTGTAATGAGAACCAATGGGAAAAATATAAACTCGGTGGTCACGCAAGCCAAGATTTAAATCCTTCACTTGTGTTTTTTGTTTTTTTGAATCTCAGTTTATTTATAAGATTTATTACTTAAGATTGTTTAAATGATTAAAAGATATATATGTACATGTTCTCCCAAATCCCTTTTTTGCTTTCTCTTTTATTATGAATATTTATTGCAAAAAAAATAGTACTCGTAGTGTGAAAGACCAAAGAAGATGGTATGGAAGACATAACAATTGAAATAGACCTTGAGATATTGGTAGGATATGTCTGTGTGAAATTTAGAATAAAAATATACAAGGCTAAGGTGATAATATTAAAGCACAGAATCACAAAATGTTAAGTGATTTCTGTGAGTACCAGTTGCTAAATATTTACTCTCCACCAGGCTATGGAAATCTTATATAATCCTAATACAAACTTAAAAGGAGTATATTATCATCCATGTTTTACAGATGAAAGAATTGAGACACAAAGAGCTTAAGTGGTTTGCCAAGGTGGCACAAAGCAGCAGACAGGAGATTCAAATCCAAGACTGCCGAATTCCACAGTCTTCAGTATTATCTTTATACCAAATCTATCTGTTTCCCAGACATAGATAGGGAATTGCAAATGAGGTCACTTTGGTTAGTACTCAGGAAATCTAGAAAAAAAAAAAAAAAACAAGATTGGAAATGTTGTACAAGATCGTTTGGAGAGAATGAAATTAAAAAGATCAACAAGGAAAAGTCCAACGAAAGGAAATAAAGCCTGATCATAGAATATGTGATGGAGAAAATTAAGATACTTTTAGAGCTATCACAGAGATAGAGTCATGGGATTTATAGATATCAAAAGATAGGAAAGTAAAAGATTATTTAGAAGCTGTTGGTCTGTAAAAACTAAAAGGATACCTTAAGAAGGGAGTATAGGAATACAGTGGGGTCAATGCTCACTGGACTGGACAGGGCCGGGAGAAGTGGGAGACTTTGAACTCACCACATATTATTCAAGCCACAGATGGTATCTAGCTGCAAAAGGGAAGTATGTGAAGATTCTAGTCCAAATATCATTTGTTTAGCATCTGCCAAATACCAAGGGTCATTACCATTTTTTTGCATACTTATCTCATTAATTCTCACAGCAAACTGTGACATCTATATAGTGCAATGATAATTCACAGCACTTCTAACTGAAGTAAGCAGCTAGATAATCAAGTGTGGAGTTTTGGAGAAAGGTCAGAGGTGAAGAAGGGGTCACTAGGACAGTGAGTAAAATAAGTTAGAGTATAAATATTAAATATCTTCTGCATGCTCAGCAGTCCCAGGCTCAGCATAGTAGAGGATATAAGAATACTAAAAGGTGATCCCTGACTGGAGCAAGTGAAATGAGTAATTATTTAAAAGAGAAAAAATAAATAGTAGAATAAGTTTAGACTTAGGCATTAGATTGTATAATACGAACTCTAAATGTTTTAAGATTCAGAGGAGAAACATCTGTGATTCCTGCTGTCAAAAAAGATGGAGTGGATCTAGAACTTGAAAGATGGATAATATTTGACTAAGTGCTGAGAAATATATTGGGATTGCTTTGTTTGTATGTGAATGAAGGAGAAAATGAATGCGAACATTATAGTGCATGTGAAATTGATGTGTTTATAAGACAATGAGGATATCAGACTGAAAAGAGGATAAACTAAAATTGGCAAACATCAGACAATAATACGTTGTATATGTTTTGATGACAGATTATAGAACACTTGGTCAATCAGAAAGAGGTGATATTTGGCATAAAGGGAAGTCTTTGAAGGACTTTAAGCAGAACAATGAAGGAAAGCAGCATTTCATGAAGCATGATGGGTAGTAGTCTGTTTATGGGATCGGAAATGAGAAAAAAATTGTAGAATATGGCCAAAACTGGTGTGTCTAAAGCATAGAATTGAAGGAAGGAAGGGTAAACTTTAGGAAGCCATTATTCATGGGTGGTGATGAGCACTATGTGTGACTTAAGAAATTAATGTTGCAACTCAAAATTCTACAAAGTATCCTGACAATTTTATTTCACATATGTGGTGGATACTTAAATGAGATCTAGACTTAAAGGAGGACCAACAGTGACATGTGCATGACTATCCACTAAAAATATAATGCAGTAAGGAAGCTGCTAGAACTTGACCTGTTTATAACCTGAAATGGAGCAATATATCTTTCTTTCCTCCTTTGGCTGAGTCCTTTTTTTTTGTATTTCTGGTCAAAGTGCATTTACAGCACATGGCTCTCTGAGTGTTGGCTCTTATTTACTGCTTGAGCACATATATAATGACTATTACAAGTAGAATTTTGATAATGACAGAAAAATATTTTTTCAGAACCACATCAACAAATAACATACCAGACTCATTTTGCCCATAGTAGCCATCTGATGTCTCCTAGCCTTTGTTCTACTATCTACTGCATAACATGGGTAATAATATTACATAATTTGTAGTGTTATGAGGATCATATGGACAAATTCTGTAGTCCCTGCAGAATTTAGGCAAATGTGGTTTGTCTTCTGAATTCTAGGAACAGTACTAGTAAGTTCCTAGTAGATGTAGATATAGCAATAAACAAAATATGTATGGTACCTGCCCTCATGAAGCCAAGGTAGAATTTATGTAGAACTTATTGCTAGCCATCAAGCATACACAAACATCCAGAAAAAAATTATTATTATTAAAGTAGAGGAATGATTAATATGATTAATGCCTATAGTTGTAGATCTGCTTATATTTTTGATAAGGTTATGTAATTGGCCCTATTAAATATGATAAAAATAAAATGCTCTATTTGGTTTATACAAACTTGAAATGTGATTCTGTGAGACAGAACATTATGCCAAGTGCTTCAGGTAATGTTTACAACATTAACTCTTTTAGTTGAAGGATCAACGGGAATACAATAAAAGTGTCTTATTATAATTGAATTAAAATTATCAGCTAAACGGCAACTTCTATAGTATAATGAATTTATTGAATAAGACTGCAAAAATAGATTGGCATCTTTACACAGAGGAGATATTCTAGATCTCCAAATTGAGGGAAAATACCCGATAAGCCTATCATCAATCTTACTATTCAACAGTGGTTAAAAAAAAAAAAAGAAGTTACACCAAGAGAACCCAAAACCCAAGATGTTATAAGACGTTTAGATATACAACATTTTTCTAAGAGTAAAATCTTTCAGAAAATATGTTTGGATCCATTTCATTTACCGTAATTTAAGTCATCTTATGCCTCTGTTGGAACTGCACTTGTATGCCCTTTAAATTTAATAATGGAAGATTTTGACTATTTATTAGACTCACTACAGTCTGGAAAAATGGAGCTTCTTCTTAATTTGCTATGAATGAAAGCCCAGGTCCTTGGGTTCCTCAGTTACCTGATAACAAAACCACTAGTGATACAACATTCACAGAATGAGCTGCACAAGGATTTCAGGAGCAAATAAAAGAGAAAATGGTTGAAGCCATGGAATGAATAGGAGAGAAAAAAATTAAATAGAATAATTAGTGTCATAAAAAGAATTAATTATATAAGAAAAACTTCAAATGAACATGGGCAAGTTACTTAACTTTCTGAGCCTCTTTCCTCATCTATAAAATGAGATAACTTTATAGGGTTAATGTATATTTTAAGCAATGAGCATATACATACACATAAAACCCTCTTGACTATAATAACCATAATAAGCATTATTTAAGTGTTTGGTGTGGATGGTGGTTCCCATATATAGCAGAATTGTGATTTTCTACCCATTTCTAATAGCTTTCTGATTTAATATTCACGTAGCATTATTATTCTCTCCCTAGAACATCTTTTTCTGCTGCTTATATATACCTTCAATAAATATTTGTCTTTAAATCTCCACTGCCTCATACCTTGCCAGAAACCTGATATGTTTGTTGAATTAAGTTCAGGGTGTAGAATATTTATTTCAATGAAAAAAAATTTGATGATCATCCCAGAGCAGCAATTTTTATTCATTTGTAGAAATAATCTTGTTATTTTAAAAGATGACAGATTTCTAAACATTGCAAATAGACCTGTGTAAAGATTTCTTAAAGGAGTTATTGGTTATATCTCTAGAGACAGAAGCTCAGAATTAACAAAGACAGGTTTGCTGCATGCATGAGTAGACTGCAGGCAGCATACAGAATTAGGCTACAATGAGAGAAGAAATGAGAGCGAGCCTAGGCTTAATTATGGAAGCACACAGTTCCTGGACTTGCCATACCCTCATGAGAGTTGCTTTCTGATTATATGAAGTCTATGGAAGCTATTCAAGATAAATGTATCAGATTGTCATATTTGTCAAAATCAATCCATTAAACATTCTAGTCACTGTAAGTAACTGGAATACACACAGAAATAGATCCATGTACTTCTGAGTGGAGGTTTCCTCTGAAGCTGTTACCACTCTCTCAGTCAGTTTCATTGTGATAAAATGCTTCAGGTTTTTGGAGAAGGCTAGTGAATAAGACTACTTTGCCCTTAATACAGTGTTCATATTACTTTACATCCTCTATGTCCAGAAAAGAAAACAAAATGAAGGCTTAAGCTTTTTCATTTTTCTTACAATTTTAGAATTTTGTCTCCTAGTCTTGCGAAAGAGGAGGCAGGTTCTGTAGGTATATCTTTGCTTTGAGAGAACTTTCCTTAAAGTGGCTTTTTTGGTCTAGCTTTGTCACTATTAATGGCATGGACTTGCTGTCAGACAAGAATAAATTCCTTCTCAGGTAACCCACTGGGACTATTAAAAGCATGTTCTAATATAGTCTGAAAAGGAAGAAATAATACAGAGTAATTTGAATTGCTGCATGAGAAACAAGGAAAATTAAGGTTTAATCAAAGAATTATTGAAATAATTATGTGTTATTTATTAATGCACCATGTATTTTAATAATCTTATCTGTTAGTTTATATGCACAAGTGAAGATTGAAAAAGAACTCTAGAAAATTACATGAATATATTCTTCCAGTGCTGTTCTAAGGTTTATTTGTGTGGCCTAGTGGATACAAAATAGAGAATAGGACTCTTTCTAACCATTTCCATAAATGCATAGTTCTTACCCCTTTTCTTAAGCGGACATATTTTTAAATATGGAAATAATAAATATGCCCATACCTAAAATTTTGATATAAATAATTGGCTATTTTCAGAGAGAGCTATTTGATAAACAATATCTCTTTTCTATAGCTTTTTTTTTCTGCAGAGGATGCTTTTGTATTTGCAAAAGATGAAGACAAAAATGAATTTTGCAATATTAACATTAACGTTACTGATTGTAGCATTGATGATTATACTGATTGTACTGATTATAGACTATTCAACCCGTTGCTCAACAGTTTTTAGTCAATTCTATGACTTTTATTCTAGCTTAGTATATCTCATATTTTGGTTTCTAAAGTATCATACATTAAGACATAATAATACTGTTATTCTTGCATAGCACTAATAATTGTTCCACAATTGAAAGACAGTATATTTTTCTGTTTACATCTTCATCAACATCTGAGTTGCTATGCTCAAAGTTGTTCTATTAATCAATCTCAGCAGTTATTGAATCTCTAGTATGTACTTAATGCTAGCAGTCATAACAAGAGTTTCAAACCAGAAGGAGATAACAATCCAGTCAGAGATTATGAATAAAACAATGAATAATATAAGGCAGCTGTGGGAGAAAAATAGAAGAAGGTGCTAATTAAGCACTAAATCATATGATGCAGATTATATTCTCTACAAAATTCCAGAGAGAGGGCCACAGTGGTTAGAACAGGCCTTATCAAGGCGTGTTTTATCAATGCTTATCTTCAGCTTTATTGTGGTTGTTATTATTAATTGCTTGCAATGAGTTTAGTATTGTTTCCTATTTATTTGGCCATTTTTTTCATCCCAAATAGGGGAGGAAGTGGTAATAAAATTAGATGTAGTTTTTAAAAATTAATAATACTGGCCGGGCGCAGTGGCTCACGCCTGTAATCTCAGCGCCTTGGGAAGACAAGGCGGGTGGATCACAAGGTCAGGAGACCGAGACCATCCTGGCTAACACGGTGAAACCCCGTCTCTACTAAAAATACAAAAAATTAGCCTGGCATGGTGGCACACGCCTGTAGTCCCAGCTACTAGGAAGGCTGAGGCAGGAGAATGGCGTGAACCTGGGAGGCGGAGCTTGTAGTGAGCCGAGATCGTGCCACTTCACTCCAGTCTGGGCGACAGGGCGAGACTCGGTCTCAAATAATAATAATAATAATAATAATAATAATAATAATAATAATAATAATAATAAATGAGAAATCAATCCAGGGTAAAAACTGAACAAAACATTGCACCATATAGATGTGATCTGTACCACTGTGTTCTCTTCCAAATTAGACCATTCATACTTGTGTCTGTCCTTAGTTATTCACACGTGATTATTGATATTCTGTCTTACAAATGCCCACTGCCCTATTTGATTCTGTATTTCTGCTTTGTGATTAACATGCTGCTTTCCTGAGGGAAAAAGTGTCACCTATAAACCACTTTCTATTGTAACCATCCACAGTGTTTGGGTAATGAGCTCTTGTTTAGTAGAAAAGACTTGTTTGCACAATTCCAATTCCAATTTCTTATAGGAAGTGAGTGCAAATAGATATGAAAAAAGTACAATATTGTCATATTGAAACTCCCTGTTAGAAACAAATTGATGATTTAATATTCTCTTATATATTGGTTGCATTAAGATGTAGACCTTTTCCATTTTCTATAATTCATGACAATGTTTACATTAATAATGATTTTCTCCCAAAGGAATATTATTTTTATGTGATTATAAATAGCCTCTTGGCAGACACTGGATAAGCAGTGTGTACTGTTTTAAATGACAACATAGTATCAATTATACACAATATAAAGCAGGAAGAGAGATTGGATGACTTCCAAATGTGTCATTCAAGTGAGAATATATTTGTGAATTTAATTGTTGTGTTAAGCCTATTAAATAACAATTATTAACATGCTTCCATTTTATCCTCTATCTACAAAATATTTCAGTTTATGTTACATGCCTGTAGTTGAAAATGTGTGAAGTTTTCTCATCTTTATTAAAGCACCCTGTAGAAAATTTTCTGCTAAAGTAAAACCTCAAGTTCTTTTTTCTCCTTCTGAGGTAAACTCCAAAACCAGATTTCTTTTTAATTGGCTGTATAGCTCTGCTTTACGCTTTTCATGTCTCTTTGAATTTCTTGTGAACACAGAATATTTGAATGTGTAGGAGCCAAAAAACAGAAAAAAACGAAAGACATTTTCCCACAGGTGGAAACAAAGCGGAAGGGAGGTATTACAGTTGCAACATTCCTTCCTTTTGCCAAATATCAAGTAGTATGGAAATAGTTTAACAGAGTGATTAAAAAGTGCCAAATTGATTTTATTTTCTAGGAATTAGATCTCTAAATAACAGAGAAGCAACCCTTTTTCACATGCCATGTGATAGCTTTTAAAAATTATCCCCTTGCATTTAAGGATAATGAGAAAGGAAATTTACAAAGAGCCTGGCCTAGCGTGCTAAGTGGAATTGGAGGAAAACTCAGGTAGTTCTCAAGATATTGTTCTGCTTCTACTCTTTAAGGATTTTTGAAGTTTTGGAGATTGTTTGTCAGAGATGATCACGATGACAACATGAGGACAATAAAAGTAGATGTAACACGTGTGGTACTGAGTGCTAATGGTATGTCAGGTACTGTGCTAAGTTCTAGGTATGGATCATCTTATGTATTTCTCACAAAGCCCTGTGAAGTGGGTTATAACCTCTTCAACTCAGAAATTAGGAAATTGAACCAGGGGAAATTATAGAATTTTTTCAAATGGCTATATATTTTCTCCAGGACTTAGGGAGGATTACAAATATGTTTTCAAAAACAGAGGGTCCCTGCCACTTAGGTTTTTTTTTTTTTTTTCCTTTTTCTTCACTCTGTTTCCTAAGTACTATAATTTAAGACAAATATATAATCACTGTTTCCCTTATAATTTAAATATGACATACACACCCAAACCTTGTCAATATAATTGACAAAGCAGATAATTGGCTGATAGCTTTTAGCTGCCTTTGTTGGTTGGTGAGTGAAAGGAATCTGGCATAGAAACCACAAGCAGAGTTGTCTGTGATCTCATACTTCACAGCACAAATGGTTTATCACCAAAATTGTTGAGAGAGTCTTGGATATGGTTTACTTTTAAATTTCGTGAGTATCCATTAAGCTGACTGTAAGGCCTGATAAAATATCATCCAGTTCCATGATTAGATTTTTAAGTGTAAATTGTATTCTTAATGGTTAGAGTGACAACAAATTGAGATGAAAGAGAACACAGAGTAAATTTATCTCTGGAGTTGTTGGTGGGTCTTAAGGTTGTTTAAAATGAAAACAACAGATTCTAGGAGTCTGGGAATTGATTTAGCAATCAACTATGCCAGCTGCTCTCTGTCAATAACCTTTTTAGTAGAATCCTAAAATCAAACAACCAGCAAAGATAGGAGATAGGAGGCATTATTTATTTTCTATGTTTAGGTAGTTTACAAAAATGTCAAGCCTCCTATCTCTTGAGAAGCAAATTTGTTACTCTATTTATAAATTATTTTAATACATTTTGTAAATGTAATCATTTTACCTCTGGGAACCATTTTTCCTCTTATTTCTTCTCCTTTCTGGTTGCCCCTCACATTCCCAAAAATCAATAATTAAATGTGACTCGATTTTCAGTCTTTTAGTGAGTCATTAATACATGTTGGATCTCTGGAAAGTAATACTGAATATAAAACCTAAACTATTACATTTTAACTTGAGAGGCTATGACGTATTCAATGTACCCATATTCAGGAATATGCATTGTGAAAACTTCGTTGGTAAACAACCGCCTTATGAGAACTGATATCTCTTCTGTATTCATAGCAGGGATCGATTAAATTAAATGAATAAAGTTATTATTTATTTATTAGTGAGTCAGTATGTTAACATGTGAGAGGTGAAGGGCATGCCGAGGGATATAAATTAAGCGTGAGATTTTAGCTTGAAGTTTTACTTAAAGTTTTGTGTTTTTTCTTGAAAGTCATTCTTTTTTTTTTTTTTTTGGAAACGGAGTGTCACTCTGTTATGAAAGTCAGTCATTTTTAATGATATTTAATTATGGACCTAAACAATTTATACATAAATCTAATATTTTAAATATTTGCCATAAAGAAAAATGGATTTCTAATGAAATGAATGATATTTATTCTATAGCCACTTCTACCATTCAACACCTCAGAGAATAGGCATCTCTATTTTGATAAAAAATGTTAAATATTTTTGACATTGAAAAAAGATATCTCAGAAACTTGAGTTCATTATAACTTTGAATATTGCGTTACCATAACTGATGGTTGAAAATATGTGTTCTTTGTATTTTAAGTTATCCTCAAATAAAACAAGGGTTAAAATGCCCCTCAATAATGTCTTCCTACTGTACTATGGAATATTACATTTAAATTGTTTTCTTTATTATTCTAAAATTATATAAACTAGAATTCTGAAACATAATATGGCAATATAATATCTATCTGTAATTAATTGAAATTGTTTTGCACTTTTCTAAAATTGTATCTTATGTTTTGTTCATTCCCTGTCCCCTATGCTCTTTTGAAAATGCCTGCAAATGCAAGCTCAAAGACAGGATACTGTTGTATAAGAGCACTGCACTGGGACTCCGCATACTTGGGTCCTAGTTGTAAGTCAGTTGGATGAATTTGGCAAGTCATCCATTTTGTTTGTGTTTCAATGTTCTCAGTGAACTCTGCTGGCGCTAAAACACTCTTCAAGTTTAATATGTGAGTGCAGAATTCATTAGGCTGAAAGATAACACAATAGATAATTGACATAGTCTTTCCACTTGTGGGGAATTATAGATATTCAGAATATATTACAAGTGCTATATGTTAGTAGAGCTGTTTAAATAATGAAGCTATCTTTCTTCATCTTGAAGCTTTAGTTCACTTTTTCCCACTAATCATGGAAAAATGTATAACTTTCTTTGAAAGATTAGTGTTCTACTCATAAATTAGTAAACTTCCCCCAGAAAGAAAATAAATACTTTGGTCTAGAACTATAAATGATTGGGGAAAAAAACCACAAATATATAAGTTAAAGTTTTGTTGTATATCTTTGGTACTATTTCACATTTTACCAAGCACTCTAAAAATACTATAATTCAGTCTGTTCACATTAAAACACTCCAGAAGCAGTAAAACAGAGTGACATTTAGAATTATTCATTTGTTTACTCACTCATTTAAGCAATAATTTTCACTTTTAATAATGCTCTTTCCTTTACTAAATATGTATTGCCTAATATGGTCCATATTTTGGCTTTAAGTTGTTTATTGTCTACTGAAGATTTAAAAAAACAAACAAACTTGTAAATAAACAAATGTATTGAGAACCACAGAAGCAGTGGATAAAGCATACACTGGGTCCTCTGAGAGCATAAAGTGTTTTCAGGGGAATGGGTAGAGGGGAGTCCAAGAAGGGCTAAAAGAGCTAAGCTTTGAGGATTGACTGAAATTAGCCAAGTTCTAGGCAGTTTTATCACTGAAAATTTGAAATCCCATGTATTGAACATTTCACTGGATGATTCCATGGCAAGTTAGGACATTGCATGCTGGGTACATTAAATAGATTTATTATTTTTATTTGAGAATTTAATCCATCCACTTTGCCTCATTAATCTCTTTCCCTATCAGCTTTGGTCTTTGTACTAAAATAAAAACGCAATTCGTATTTACCTATTTACCTATATCTTCTGTCTTCACCATCTCCCATTTTCCTTACCTATACGCAAATATGATTTTCTGTGGAGTTGATAGAAATATTGTTCAGATAACTAAAAGAAATTATTTTTAAAAAATGAAGACTTAGTAATTCTGAAAGTTTAAAAAATATCCCAGTTGGTACTCTATCTAGAACTGCAGAAATTGGTCAGCTAACATGGAGACTGGTCTTTAAGTACTGGGCCTCTTCTGTGGGATATATCAAGTCCATTCAACGTCTAACTAAGGTTAAACAGAAAATGACCATGTAAAAAATGTGTGATTTTTCTTTCCCTTAGGAAGTGAATACCTATAGATTTGTCAATGGTTATGAGTCATTTATGGTAACAGGTAAAATAATTGGCATTTATCTTGACTGTCCAAATAGTTGATTAAATAGGAAAATAAAATGGAGGTAAAAAATTTAATCTTATATTAGGTTTTTTTTTTTTTGGTGAACATTTTTCTTTTTTTTTATTATTATACTTTAAGTTTTAGGGTACATGTGCACATTGTGCAGGTTAGTTACATACGTATACATGTGCATGCTGGTGCGCTGCACCCACTAACTCGTCATCTCGCGTTAGGTATATCTCCCAATGCTATCCCTTCCCCCTCCCCCGACCCCACAACAGTCCCCAGAGTGTGATATTCCCCTTCCTGTGTCCATGTGATCTCATCGTTCAATTCCCACCTATGAGTGAGAATATGCGGTGTTTGGTTTTTTGTTCTTGCGATAGTTTACTGAGAATGATGATTTCCAATTTCATCCATGTCCCTACAAAGGACATGAACTCATCATTTTTTATGGTGCATAGTATTCCATGGTGTATATGTGCCACATTTTCTTAATCCAGTCTATCATTGTTGGACATTTGGGTTGGTTCCAAGTCTTTGCTACTGTGAATAATGCCACAATAAACATACGTGTGCATGTGTCTTTATAGCAGCATGATTTATAGTCCTTTGGGTATATACCCAGTAATGGGATGGCTGGGTCAAATGGTATTTCCAGTTCTAGATCCCTGAGGAATCGCCACACTGACTTCCACAATGGTTGAACTAGTTTACAGTCCCACCAACAGTGTAAAAGTGTTCCTATTTCTCCACATCCTCCCCAGCACCTGTTGTTTCCTGACTTTTTAATGATTGCCATTCTAACTGGTGTGAGATGGTATCTCATTGTGGTTTTGATTTGTATTTCTCTGATGGCCAGTGATGGTGAGCATTTTTTCATGTGTTTTTTGGCTGCATAAATGTCTTCTTTTGAGAAGTGTCTGTTCATGTCCTTTGCCCACTTTTTGATGGGGTTGTTTGTTTTTTTCTTGTAAATTTGTTTGAGTTCATTGTAGATTCTGGATATTAGCCCTTTGTCAGATGAGTAGGTTGCGAAAATTTTCTCCCATTTTGTAGTTGCCTGTTCACTCTGATGGTAGTTTCTTTTGCTGTGCAGAAGCTCTTTAGTTTAATTAGATCCCATTTGTCAATTTTGTCTTTTGTTGCCATTGCTTTTGGTGTTTTAGACATGAAGTCCTTGCCCATGCCTATGTCCTGAATGGTAATGCCTAGGTTTTCTTCTAGGGTTTTTATGGTTTTAGGTCTAACGTTTAAGTCTTTAATCCATCTTGAATTGATTTTTGTATAAGTTGTAAGGAAGGCATCCAGTTTCAGCTTTCTACATATGGCTAGCCAGTTTTCCCAGCACCATTTATTAAATAGGGAATCCTTTCCCCATTGCTTGTTTTTCTCAGGTTTGTCAAAGATCAGATAGTTATAGATATGCGGCGTTATTTCTGAGGGCTCTGTTCTGTTCCATTGATCTATATCTCTGTTTTGGTACCAGTACCATGCTGTTTTGGTTACTGTAGCCTTGTAGTATAGTTTGAAGTCAGGTAGTGTGATGCCTCCAGCTTTGTTCTTTTGGCTTAGGATTGACTTGGCGATGTAGGCTCTTTTTTGGTTCCATATGAACTTTAAAGTAGTTTTTTCCAATTCTGTGAAGAAAGTCATTGGTAGCTTGATGGGGATGGCATTGAATCTGTAAATTACCTTGGGTAGTATGGCCATTTTCAGGATATTGATTCTTCCTACCCATGAGCATGGAATGTTCTTCCATTTGTTTGTATCCTCTTTTATTTCATTGAGCAGTGGTTTGTAGTTCTCCTTGAAGAGGTCCTTCACATCCCTTGTAAGTTGGATTCCTAGGTATTTTATTCTCTTTGAAGCAATTGTGAATGGGAGTTCACTCATGATTTGGCTCTCTGTTTGTCTGTTGTTGGTGTATAAGAATGCTTGTGATTTTTGTACATTGATTTTGTATCCTGAGACTTTGCTGAAGTTGCTTATCAGCTTAAGGAGATTTTGGTCTGAGACAATGGGGTTTTCTAGATATACAATCATGTCATCTGCAAACAGGGACAATTTCACTTCCTCTTTTCCTAATTGAATACCATTTATTTCCTTCTCCTGCCTAATTGCCCTGGCCAGAACTTCCAACACTATGTTGAATAGGAGTGGTGAGAGAGGGCATCCCTGTCTTGTGCCAGTTTTCAAAGGGAATGCTTCCAGTTTTTGCCCATTCAGTATGATATTGGCTGTGGGTTTGTCATAGATAGCTCTTATTATTTTGAAATACGGCCCATCAATACCTAATTTATTGAGAGTTTTTAGCATGACGGGTTGCTGAATTTCGTTGAAGGCTTTTTCTGCATCTATTGAGATAATCATGTGGTTTTTGTCTTTGGCTCTGTTTATATGCTGGATTACATTTATTGATTTGCGTATATTGAACCAGCCTTGCATCCCAGGGATGAAGCCCACTTGATCATGGTGGATAAGCTTTTTGATGTGCTGCTGGATTCGTTTTGCCAGTATTTTATTGAGGATTTTTGCATCAATGTTCATCAAGGATATTGGTCTAAAATTCTCTTTTTTGGTTGTGTCTCTGCCTGGCTTTGGTATCAGAATGATGCTGGCCTCATAAAATGAGTTAGGGAGGATTCCCTCTTTTTCTATTGATTGGAATAGTTTCAGAAGGAATGGTACCAGTTCCTCCTTGTACCTCTGGTAGAATTCGGCTGTGAATCCATCTGGTCCTGGACTCTTTTTGGTTGGTAAGCTATTGATTATTGCCACAATTTCAGATCCTGTTATTGGTCTATTCAGAGATTCAACTTCTTCCTGGTTTAGTCTTGGGAGAGTGTATGTGTTGAGGAATTTATCCATTTCTTCTAGATTTTCTAGTTTATTTGTGTAGAGGTGTTTGTAGTATTCTCTGATGGTAGTTTGTATTTCTGTGGGATCGGTGGTGATATCCCCTTTATCATTTTTTATTGCGTCTATTTGATTCTTCTCTCTTTTTTTCTTTATTAGTCTTGCTAGTGGTCTATCAATTTTGTTGATCCTTTCAAAAAACCAGCTCCTGGATTCATTAATTTTTTGAAGGGTTTTTTGTATCTCTATTTCCTTCAGTTCTGCTCTGATTTTAGTTATTTCTTGCCTTCTGCTAGCTTTTGAATATGTTTGCTCTTGCTTTTCTAGTTCTTTTAATTGTGATGTTAGGGTGTCAATTTTGGATCTTTCCTGCTTTCTCTTAAATTTCCCTCTACACACTGCTTTGAATGCGTCCCAGAGATTCTGGTATGTTGTGTCTTTGTTCTCGTTGGTTTCAAAGAACATCTTTATTACTGCCTTCATTTCGTTATGTACCCAGTAGTCATTCAGGAGCAGGTTGTTCAGTTTCCATGTAGTTGAGCGGTTTTGAGTGAGATTCTTAATCCTGAGTTCTAGTTTGATTGTACTGTGGTCTGAGAGATAGTTTGTTATAATTTCTGTTCTTTTACATTTGCTGAGGAGAGCTTTACTTCCAAGTATGTGGTCAATTTTGGAATAGGTGTGGTGTGGTGCTGAAAAAAATGTATATTCTGTTGATTTGGGGTGGAGAGTTCTTTAGATGTCTATTAGGTCGGCTTGGTGCAGAGCTGAGTTCAATTCCTGGGTATCCTTGTTGACTTTCTGTCTGTTGATCTGTCTAATGTTGACAGTGGGGTGTTAAAGTCTCCCATTATTAATGTGTGGGAGTCTAAGTCTCTTTGTAGGTCACTCAGGACTTGCTTTATGAATCTTGGTACTCCTGTATTGGGTGCATATATATTTAGGATAGTTAGCTCCCTTTACCATTATGTAATGGCCTTCTTTGTCTCTTTTGATCTTTGTTGGTTTAAAGTCTGTTTTATCAGAGACTAGGATTGCAATCCCTGCCTTTTTTTGTTTTCCATTTGCTTGGTAGATCTTCCTCCATCCTTTTATTTTGAGCCTATGTGTGTCTCTGCATATGAGATGGGTTTCCTGAATACAGCACACTGATGGGTCTTGACTCTATCCAATTTGCCAGTCTGTGTCTTTTAATTGGAGCATTTAGTCCATTGACATTTAAAGTTAATATTGTTATGTGTGAATTTGATCCTATCATTATGATGTTAGCTGGTTATTTTGCTCGTTAGTTGATGCAGTTTCTTCCTAGTCTCGATGGTCTTTACGTTTTGGCATGATTTTGCAGTGGCTGGTACTGGTTGTTCCTTTCCATATTTAGCTCTTCCTTCAGGAGCTCTTTTAGGGCAGGCCTGGTGGTGACAAAATCTCTCAGCATCTGCTTGTCTGTAAAGTATTTTATTTCTCGTTCGCTTATGAAGCTTAGTTTGGCTGGATATGAAATTCTGGGTTGAAAATTCTTTTCTTTAAGAATGTTGAATATTGGCCCCTACTCTCTTCTGGCTTGTAGGGTTTCTGCCGAGAGATCCGCTGTTAGTCTGATGGGCTTCCCTTTGAGGGTAACCCGACCTTTCTCTCTGGCTGCCCTTAACATTTTTTCCTTCATTTCAACTTTGGTGAATCTGACAATTATGTGTCTTGGAGTTGCTCTTCTCGAGGAGTATCTTTGTGGCCTTCTCTGTATTTCCTGAATCTGAACGTTGGCCTGCCTTGCTAGATTGGGGAAGTTCTCCTGGATAATATCCTGCAGTGTGTTTTCCAACTTGGTTCCATTCTCCCCATCACTTTCAGGTACACCAATCAGACGTAGATTTGGTCTTTTCACATAGTCCCATATTTCTTGGAGGCTTTGCTCACTTCTTTTTATTCTTTTTTCTCTAAACTTCCCTTCTCGCTTCATTTCATTCATTTCATCTTCCATTGCTGATACCCTTTCTTCCAGTTGATCGCATCGGCTCCTGAGGCTTCTGCATTCTTCATGTAGTTCTCAAGCCTTGGTTTTCAGCTCCATCAGCTCCTTTAAGCACTTCTCTGTATTGGTTATTCTAGTTATACATTCTTCTAAATTTTTTTCAAAGTTTTCAACTTCTTTGCGTTTGGTTTGAATGTCCTCCTGTAGCTCAGAGTAATTTGATCGTCTGAAGCCTTCTTCTCTCAGCTTGTCAAAGTCATTCTCCATCCAGCTTTGTTCCATTGCTGGTGAGGAACTGCGTTCCTTTGGAGGAGGAGAGGCGCTCTGGTTTTTAGAGTTTCCAGTTTTTCTGTTCTGTTTTTTCCCCATCTTTGTGGTTTTATCTACTGTTGGTCTTTGATGATGGTGATGTACAGATGGGTTTTTGGTGTGGATGTCCTTTCTGTTTGTTAGTTTTCCTTCTAACAGACAGGACCCTCAGCTGCAGGTCTGTTGGAATACCCTGCCGTGTGAGGTGTCAGTGTGCCCCTGCTGGGGGGTTGCCTCCCAGTTAGGCTGCTCGGGGGTCAGGGGTCAGGGACCCACTTGAGAAGGCAGTCTGCCCGTTCTCTGCCCGTTCTCAGATCTCCAGCTGCGTGCTGGGAGAGCCACTGCTCTCTTCAAAGCTGTCAGACAGGGACATTTAAGTCTGCAGAGGTTACTGCTGTCTTTTTGTTTGTCTGTGCCCTGCCCCCAGAGGTGGAGCCTACAGAGGCAGTCAGGCCTCCTTGAGCTGTGGTGGGCTCCACCCAGTTCGAGCTTCCCGGCTGCTTTGTTTTCCTAAGAAAGCCTGGGCAATGGCGGGCGCCCCTCCCCCAGCCTTGCTGCCGCCTTACAGTTTGATCTCAGACTGCTGTGCTAGCAATCAGCGAGATTCCGTGGGCGTAGGACCCTCCGAGCCAGGTGTGGGATATAATCTTGTGGTGCGCCGTTTTTTAAGCCTGTCGGAAAAGCGCAGTATTCGGGTGGGAGTGACCCGATTTTCCAGGTGCTGTCCGTCACCCCTTTCTTTGACTCGGAAGGGGAACTCCCTGACCCCTTGCACTTCCCGACTGAGGCAATGCCTCCCCCTGCTTTGGCTTGCGCACGGTGCGCGCACCCACTGACCTGCGCCCACTGTCTGGCATTCCCTAGTGAGATGAACCCGGTACCTCAGATGGAAATGCAGAAATCACCCGTCTTCTGCGTCGCTCACGCTGGGAGCTGTAGACTGGAGCTGTTCCTATTCGGCCATCTTGGCTCATATTAGGTTTGTTCTCAATGCATGACCTTTGTTAGACTATTTATCCTTCCGGAGACCATTTTTTGTCTATCTTAAAAATTAGGGTATTAGAATGGCTGATTTCAAAAGTCTTTTACATTCTTAAACTCTATGATTCTATGCATCTATTTTTGTTATATCCCAAACATCAGGTATTCTGTCACAGACAGGGTACAAGGATAAATGGAACAATGATATGATCTGAATTTATCATATTTCTTTTCTTTAGTTGGCCATTCCATGGAAAATTATTTCCACTTCATAAATTGGAGGTGAGAAAGAAAAAAACACTAATATTACCTTTATCATTTTTAATCAAAAGAATGCATGAAATATGTATTTGGCTGCTATTCTTGCTTTCCATCAAAGTGAATACGAAAATATGTAATAACACGTGGAAATATATTAGGGAAGCTTTTAATCAGGAAGCAAAGAAACCGTTCCAGTGGAAACATTTTGGCCTGGAGGATGTCCTTTGATCTAAGAAGTTTAAGCTGTTGGTGTTTTAAACACCTTATAGTAGGGTCACATAGCCAATTCATGTTAAATAATTCATTTGCTTAAACCTTTTCTAAAATTGTGAAAAAAAACCCTTGAGAGTTAATTAACAATAAGATGTATTATTGGGATGACCAAATAAACCATCTCTGGCTTCTTCACTGGTGATCTTCTATACAAGTACTCCAGCAAAGTGAAAACTACATAATGCAAGAGGCAATAAAGACTAAGCAAATGAGTTCATAAGTTGCTGAGTGAATGGAAAATTTTCTGCCCTTATTATGGCACTGTACTTGTTTGTTCCCAGATACTCAAGTCAAATTATAAAAGTCATCATCCTTGATGTATTTTTCTCACTTGCCACATCAAATTCATTAAGTCTTATTAGGTCTACTTTAAAACGTACTGTGAATTTATCCACTTCTCTACAACTTCTGATTTTCATTGACCATACATTTAAGATCACTACCCATTACTCCGAAAGTCATTCCTTATAACATTTCCCTGATAAACTTTTATAGGGTACTCAATTCCTTTTAACTTATTTAGTTGCTATTTTTTTGTCTCTGCTCACTGGAGTCTCCATGAATTCGGGGATTTTTTTCTATATTGTTCACTGCTATAACTCCATGTCCTAGAAAAGGGTCTGGTACTGAGTAGGCACTCAGTAAGTATTTCTTGCATGAATGAATGAGTTTACACTACTCCTATGTAGTCCAAGCCAGCTTGGGTTATTTCAGTAGTCTCCAGCTGATCTGATACAGCTAATATCCTTTTCTTTACAACATTATTTTTGTTCACACAGCAGCCAGTGATCTTTTAAAATCCTATCATGCTAAAGCAGTTCAAAGGCTTACTATTGCCCTTAGGACAAATCCAAAGTCACATGAGCAGCCTAAAATGTTCTACGTGTGTTCATGTGATTTGCACAAAACTCCATATAGTTTAGTGGGGTCCTGCTCTTCCTTTACTATCCAGTTTAACATAGTCTCTTTCTCCAGTCATTCTCTGCCTCACTGCTCTATGCTTGCCATTCATTTACGAAATCTGAAATATTGACTTGCTTTTGTATCTCCCATCTCCTTCCATCACTAGTGTAAGCTCCATGATATGGCCCTATCTTCACCATTGTCCCTCAGTAATTTCATTTGTACTATTATCTCCACAAACACTCACAACATCCCAGCCAACACAGATGTTATTATTCTTATTTTACCTTGAAACAACAGACCTAAGTTAGGTGATAATTGCCTGTTTCCTGTCTGTCCCCTCACAAGACCAAGTCTCTTCAAGGCACTTTTACGTATCTTGTCCATCATATACATTATTGTATCCTCAGAGGAAGTCCTATATATGTTGTATGTTAATGACTCAAGAAATACATACTAATAAAAGAAGAGAAAATAGAAAAAAATACACACTAAAAGATTTAATAAATAAAAGAATAAGGGTACGGAATAGACATCTGAAATCCCAGTCCCTAGACCTGTGCAACATACCATATCCAGAACAAAAGGCTTAGCATCATAAATTTTAAAAGTGCCTCTCTAATATTAAAGATGAACCTTTGTCGTTAAGCCTTTGCCACTAACTGAAAGAGCAAATTATTAGTTGTAGAAAATTGAGAGTCTGAAAAAGTACTGAGCTCATACTGTTCTGGAACAGAACAAGGCAGAAGTTGTAGTGCTGAGAACGTTTTTGTTTTCTTTCTTTCTTCCTTCCTTATTTTCTCATTGAATCTCTGTCTCTCTACGCATCTGCCTTCTCTGTCTGTGTTTTCCATTCTCTGCCTTTCTCTCTTGTCCTCTGGCTCTGGCTCTGGCTCACTGGCTCTGTCTTTGTTTTTTCATCCAGGCCTCTTTCACACTGCTGTATCTTTCTTTGTATAGGACTTTATGGTTGCCTTGGGGTTGAGAAGCCCCTGGAAGGAAGAAAAGAAACGCAAAGTACAGTGGTGACATTTAGCAACACACAAATGGAAGGTATAAGGATGTCTGTTTGAAGTAAAAACATCCTGTGCCTGCCCACCTCACACAAACTCCTGAACTTCTTCAGATTATTCCCAGTTGGAGAGGTCTTTGTTTAATAGGCAAATTTGAACATCTCTGATTATTATATGAGTGGCAATTCAATTATTTTTAATAGATGGGGTTGGGAAAGGGAGGAGTGGTTAGCACCCCATATCTCTAGGGTCTCCTCTTTCCATCCCTAAGTGGTCCAAAAGTACAAGACAGAAGCAAGTGATAGTAAGGAAGCATGAAGGTCAAGGTGTCCCTATTAACACACAACCTTAGCACAATCACATGTCTCAGCCTAAAATATAAAACCATCTTTTCATTTAATTTTAGTATTTGTTAAATTCCAAACTTTCAAAATATTCCACATCTTACAAAAGTAGTCTAGGAAACTTATACCAATACATAAGTAATATTATTGCTTTAATAAACTTGACTATCATTTCCTTATTAAACTCACATCTTCTCACTTTACTTTTAGTCATAGATTTACAAATGCCTTCTATGAACCTGAAAGAACAAATTGACACAGGGATTTGTAATGATTTCATATATTGTGTGTTTTTAATGTAAAGGAATTTTAACTCAATGGTTACTTGGAGGTCCTCATACCTTTCCAGTCCCAGGATTTATTGCCATTCATTGTTTGCAGGATTGGGGTCCTTCCAAAATGTTCAGAGTTCTCTGGATGTAACTCTCCGTACTTCCAGGAAAATCCAATGAGGGTCTATGACATAAAATCTCTATTAGATGGTAGAGAAAAAAACAGCCTTAACATTTGTTACAAGACAGAGGGAGTAGGCTTCAGTTGTTCAGAAATGGTTTTCAATCAGGGAATCTCGTTCATAAAGAAACTAGATAGATTAAACTTCAGTGTAGTGAATTGCTTTTTTCCATCATGCAATCATAATTCAGCTCATAGCCTCCTACCTTGACAAGATTTTTAGTAATCTCATTCATCATTTCTAGGAAAGTAAAGAAAACATCAGTAACTTAGATCATTAGAATGAATGCACACTGTACACTAGCCCCAAAAGAATTTGACTAAATCAAAAACAACCAAATTGACTTGTATGGAAAAGAACTCAGAACAATAAAGTATTAGCAATTTGCCAACCTACCATTCAGGTATTATGGAAATAAGCCAGCCCAAATCACTCAAGGAACAGAAATGAAGCCAACTTACTGTGTTTGAATGTCAGAGGGATTTTCAGGTAATAGCTTGTAAAATGAAGGGCACCTTTAGAGTTCGAATGTAAATTTCAACAGCCTAAATCTTTCCTTCAGAGAATAACAATCTTCAGGAATTCCAAAAGAATATATTCCTAATAAAATTATAAGCCTCTTTTCTACAAATGAGTTCTGCTATTTCTGTCATGTTCAATTTTCTTTGTTTTTGTTTTTCTTCAAAAGTCAGCTTCAAATCTTCTTGTGAAATTAGATGGGATTTAAATTGTAAATACATTATCGGGAAAAGAATTAATATTTTGAGTATCTGCCATGCACTGGGTGCTTCATCACTTAATCTCTATAACACCCCTACAACTATCCACATTTTATAAACACCTTAACTGAAGCTTGGAGATGTTATGAGATTTTCAAATGTACACAGCTTCTAAGTGACAGATCTGAAGCTATCGCTTAATACCCATGTGACTCCTAAGCATGCAGTCTTTATACTAAACAACTCTGATTTTGTTGTAGAGCTGTATTATAAATATAATATCACATTTAATATAATTCATTATGTATTATTATATATGTTATATAATGTATTCATTCACCTAACAAAACGATTTGTGATTTCAATAAGATTCTCTGACATTACTGATTATATGAGTCAGGACCAAAGTCGTGTGTCATGTTCAAGTATGACCCATCTGATTTGTTTTGGTGCACCCTATCACAACAAAAACTTGTCCTGAGTTAGTAATTCCCTGCCAGGGCTAGTATCACTGTCACCATGGAGACAGGCAGCCAGCTGGCTTCTCCTTTCTTTTTTTAATTTTTTTTTGCTTGTGGTCCTACTTTCCCATTGTTACCCATTGTGTCCACTGCCTTACAACCATGCCATCAGCCATGTTAGAGAGCAGAATAAAAAGAGCATTATAGTTGTGCAGAATTTCTGATATCAACTGCATATTGCACTTTATGCCGCAGAAGCACCAGTTTGTGTGTTCTAATAAATATATATATATTGGCATCCAGGCTTTTTTTTTTTTTTAATTTACCACATACCTTCCACCTGGAATCCCTCCGTCTTCCCCATCCTTCCTTACCTGGCAGGCTCCTTTTAGGCTGTTAACCTACTCTCTTTCAAGACTCTTTCTGCAGTATATCCTTAGTATATACGATTTTCCTTCAACACACTATCATGTAATGATCTGTCTAGAGGTCTGTTTCAGCCAGTATGTTGGGAACTTCTTGAAGGCAGGGTTGGGGTTTAATAATTCTTTGGTGCTGGTATATAATAAGTATGCAATAAAGTTGTTTTAAATAAAGTAATAACTTTATATTTCCTTCAGATAAATCTAAATATAGGTAATAGTGTAAATTATGTGAAATTTACAGGGAAATAATTTTATATATAGTATAATAAGTTCCTCAATAACTCAAGACTATAAAAGACTATAATTATACACCCACTACTATTCACCGAGGTATATGACAGGGTAGAAAGCAGCTGAGACTCAACAGGCACCATTCTATGAAGATATCGATCTATCTTAGTATTTAGAAACAATTGATGTATATTTATGGACACTCATATTTTAAAAGTTTGGTCATTTAACTGACTCCTTCTTTGTCCTTGTAGCTTATTTTCAAAGCTACAAAATACCACCGTACCTTAAAATTATTTTTTCAAGAATGGCCCTCAAACAAGGTTGGGGAATAGATCTTTCCAAGTATATATCCCTTTGACCCACCGAGAAAGTAGAAACCTAGAGTAGAGGCTTCACTCCTCTGTCCCTCGTCAGCTATAGTCATGGACTCCTGATAGATGACCCTTCTGTTAAGCATAGGCAATCTGAGAGGAACTTTAAGAATTGCAACTTGGGAACCTGCATTGAAATCCAATTCCACTTATTAGCAGCTGAGAAGCCTAAACTCTGGTTAACCTCAGTTTTAAAAACTATAAAATGAGACTAATATGCACATCCCAAAGAGCTTGTGAAGATTAAATGACTTAATGCAGGAAAACCATTTGGATCATTCTTGGCACATAGTAAACACTATGTAATTGTTAGCTAGGGAAAGAAAGATAATGTGGATCAACCTTCTTTTTAGTGTTCCCAGCCTTATTTTTTCTTTGCTAATGAAAAAATAAACTTCCATGTTATATTATGTTTAAGTCAATCTTTACTTCCATAATGAAAGAAATTAACAATATTATGAATGGATATTTTTCTAGACATACGGCCTGTAAGTTATGAAACAGTATGTTTGGCTTCTATACATACTTAAACATGCTCAGTAATCAACCTGTATGGGTGTAACAGCTACAAGAACCATATATGATGAACAGAGCTCCATGTGGCATGAGGGCCTAGGCCCGAAATGTGGTGTTTGTGCAACTCTAATTACTTTGCTTGCTAAACCATATTACACCATAGATAACTAATTTTGGTGAATTCTAAAAAAGGAAAACTTTCAGTAAGGCAGGTCTGCTGACATTTGATAATATCTAGTTGTCAGTGAGATTTTAGAAGTTACACATGCCCATGTTGCATGTTGATTTCTGGATAAAAAACACACAGCAGAAGTTTATGGAATGAAAAGTAGTGATAAAATGTTTTGCAAGCAATTTATATGGGATCATATGATAGCTAATGTTGAGAGTTCATGGCCTGGATGGTATTGGTTAATTAAAGAAATCACTTGGGATAAAGAAGTACTTGGAAATGATTGTGGGTTTTCTTTCTTTCTCTCTCTCTCTCTTTTTTTTTTTTTTTTTTTTTTGCAGTTCATAATAAGCTCAGACAGAGACTTGAGAGAAGCTTTCAAAGTTCTATAAAACTGAATATATTTTCTCTTTGGCTCATTATTTACTTAACTACAGGTCATTTATTATGGTAGGGAAAAATGTATCTGTTCAATATCAAAGGCCTATGAATTTCAACCTTCTTTTATTGCCTATATTATATCATTTGAGAATTTTTAGTTAAATGGAAAAAATAGTGATTAATTTTATATTAAGATTCCCCCTCAGCTTCTGAGATTTTAGTTTCCATAACTTAGTGTGTATATTAAAAATAAATTGCTTAATTTGAGTACATGTACATTTTCCATTAATGAAGTCCAGTAGATATATTTAACATTGCATATCCATCTATGGAAAATAATATATTCAGAAATGGCTCTGAAGATAACTGAATCCGCGAAGGTGTCTTCTTAAAGATCTCCCTTAATAATAGCTTTCTTTTTTGCATAATAATATGATTTATACTTGGCTTGGTATTATGAATTATGCATGTAGGGGACAGATCTAGCTTTTTAGTTGTGGATATTAGATTTGTTAATACTTTTTTTTTTCCAATTCCTACTTCTACATTGTGTAGGACAAAGCCCAGCCATTCCACCTCCCTTACCGACAGAACAAGCTTCCAGACCCACTCCGGCATCACCTGCCCTTGAAGGCAAGTACTTTTTTTTTTCTTAAAGATCTCTATTGTAGATAAAATAGAATGTAGAGGAACAGCAACAACAAAAATAGTCACAAAGAAACAGCAAAATCCAATATTTTCTTAAATACTTTTAGTATGTCTAAACTATACTTTTCCTAAAATTGCAATTTGCTTCTTTTAGAAAACCAAAAATGTCCCCTTAAGATTCTATATTGGTGACCCTCAGCTTCCAGAAGGATGCCCACTCTAGCACTTTGGGAATCAAGCAAAAAAATATAGGGACAAATAGATAAGGCTATGCCTTGCAACTCTGGGAGTTTTACCACAACTTGATCAATTTAGTCTCTGAAGAGGCTGGTGCCAGATTTGCTGGGTTTGAATCTGAGCTCCACCTTTTCCTAGCTTTGTAAATTTGGAAAGTTATTTAAATTAACTCTTCATGAGTTTTGCCATCTCTAAGATGATATAAGCAGAGCACTGATCTCCTAGCGTTATTGTGAGGATTGAAATATATATATACACACACACTCACACACACACAAATACTGTTTTATGTATATGTATAGTTTATAAGTACTATATACAACTGGTGGTTAATACTACTAATAATTCTTGAAAATATGATGTCTCAAGATCAGCTTTGTAATAAATTTTGCTGGAACGTTAAAGTCATTTCTTTAAGTCTTCATTCATTTCTTAAACTTTTATTAAATCCCAAACATGGGATCATTTCAGATATTGTCCAAAATACTGGGGATTCAGAGATGAATAGAAAACAGTTCCTTCTCTGTCAAGACTCAATTTGCCTATATAAAACACCAGTAATTAAAGCTAAATCATTAATTTTTTACAACAGTACAAATGGAGGTCTTCCTCAGATCACAGCCACCCTAGAAAGGGGTAGAAACACCTAGCTCAGTCCCAAATTGGAAAAGATCTTCTGTGTGCAATGTGGACACTCCAGCCTGCTTGTTCAAGATCTTCCCACTCAGCTCAACAACTGCCCGTTGGCTTTGGCCATCCCTTGAGCCTAAGTGATGACACTCATGAGGATTCATCCAGGAAGAGGTTACTATTGTATATCACTTACCTAGAGAGTAAACAAGTGATTTACAAACAACCAGTCCAAAAAAAAAAAAACAGAAAGAAAATAGACCAAAAAAATCAGAATTACATTTATTTTGGCATTTGGACTATAATAGTTCACATGACTTAAGAGAATTTGACACAAAACTATCTCACTCGCCAAAATGTTCATTGGACAAGACAACCCCTATAAATAATAGCGTTGCCTTAATTTTTCATGGGATTCTAATTCTGTTGTTGTTTCCAGATGGACATAAAGCAACGAATTCAGATTTCCCAACTTGAGGGAGACTTTGATAGTCAGATTATTCAAGTGTTTGATGCCAAGTTATCTCCTAGCAGAGGCTCATAAAACACCAAGTAGCAAATATTTTGCTTAGCAATCTGTCACTTGGAAAAGGATGTGTCATTTGTTAAGTAGGACGCTTAGGTTCTGTTATTGTATTTATTTATTTATTTATTTATTTATTTATTATTTATTTTTTTTTTTTCTTGAGACGGAGTCTTGCTCTGCTGCCCAGGCTGGAAGTGCAGTGGCACCATCTCGGCTCACTGCAAGCTCCGCCTCCCGGGTTCACGCCATTCTCCTGCCTCAGCCTCCCGAGTAGCTGGGACTACAGGCGCCCGCCACCATGCCTGGCTAATTTTTTGTATTTTTAGTAGAGACGGGGTTTCACCGTGTTAGCCAGGATGGTCTCAATCTCCTGACCTCGTGATCCACCCTCCTTGGCCTCCCAAAGTGCTGGGATTACAGGCATGAGCTCCTGTTATTTTATTTAAAGAGCAATGTAATTTGACAGTTCATCCCAGAACCTAGTAATAGGCTGTGGTGAATAAAATAACAAGGTTTGAGGATCACAAGCCTTTGTCAGTGTCTTCTCTGAAAGCTTGAAGGCTGCTAACCCTGAGCAGCTCGGGGAGTCTATATTATCAGGCAATGCTGAGATCATGGGCTTTGTCAGGGCTTGCAGATGTGCTGCCTATGACTTCGTTAACATAATTGATTAGGAGCTAGGACATATTTAGTATTAATCAGGCTGTTTTTAGTGAGGCTGATTATGCCAGTCCTCTTGATGCACTATTTTAGTCTGGAACTTCCTTAGAACCAAGCTGCAAAAAGAAAAAAAAAATAAAGGCTTTATGTAAAAAGGAGGAACTTTCATGTGGCACTAAAGTATGCTGTTATATTTGAGGAATACAATTATATCAGGTCAAAATGTAGGAGAATGTACATATTTCAATTTTAATGTTTTTTAAAAGTAGAGCTCATATAGAGACTAGATTATTAAATTTGTTCACAGGAGACTAGAAACAAATAAAACTTCATTAGTAGAAATCTAAAAAAAATGTGGCTCTGTATGGGTAAAAGAATACTACAAATCTGTAAAGCCAATACTACACGTCTTTAAAGCCCATAAAAGCCTTCTTTGTGCTTTCATAGCATTTAAGAAACAAAACTTGCACAGTACTTACTTTGTTCTGGGAAGTATCTGTGTACTTCTTGTCTCAGTCCACTTATTTAGTGCCTTGAAATTGGTCTTGCCTTTCTTGGATTTCTGTGTTGTCCCCACATTGCGTGCTTTGTCTGCCATAATGAAGCTTTTATTACTTTGAATTTTTTGATACAAAGGGACTAATTATATATTAAATCATTTATTTCCTTTGACTC
Organism: Homo sapiens; assembly: GCF_000001405.40. NCBI lineage: Eukaryota > Metazoa > Chordata > Mammalia > Primates > Hominidae > Homo > Homo sapiens. The sequence continues at coordinate 123,462,162 of NC_000006.12, read as the reverse complement.
TTATTTTATGTTTTAGAATTTGTTTGGCCAGGAAAAATTGGCTACAATAGGTTTTGAAAAGATCTTGTACAATAACCACTTCACATCATCATTGTGGTCATTGTTGTAAATTTGTATTTAATTATGGATATAACTGAAACTAATTTAAAATGAACCTAATGTAAATATAATATTAATTCTCATCTTTTAAGCAATTTTGAATTCCCGTGTCTATTGGGAGCTCTTACTAGGGCTGAAACGCCTACAAGTTCAAAGGGACACTGTAGTTATCCATTTCTTTCAAAAATTGGGCTGACTTATGTGAGGTTTTTCCTCAAATCAAATAGTATCTTATAATATTAACATTATAGGTGATTTTAGCTCTTAGCATGAAAGGTCCTTTATCATCAAATGTTTTTCAGCATCTCTGCTAACCTGTTACCTCAAGAACTGTATTTCTCAGAATCCTCAGCGGTTAAACAGAACAACTTCAGGCAATGTTGCCCGCCCTCTTCCCGATTACCAAGGAAGGCAGAAAAGTTGTTTCATAAAATCCTTGTATAAGCAAAATTACCATATATGATTCCATTCATCTTTAATCAACAATACCAGATAATTTCTTTCCCACTACTTTCACCCACATGTAATTATTGGGCATTTAGTATAAAATTACCAGGACTCCTCTGTTGTGGCAAAGATGTGGAAGGAAGAAGTTAAGTTATACTTAAATTACTTTTAATATTTCATTAAACAGCTGCAATTTACATGAATGAAGTCGAATAGAGAAAGGTGAATTACTATCAAGTACCCTATATCTTGTTGAATAAATATATAACTAGTACTTAGTCTTGCAATTATAAATAATATTATAAATGCTAACACTTGTATGTGAACAAGAGAACTCTAGAGAGAAGACCAGAGTCCTGCCCAATCTCAGCTTTGATACTAATGAGTTGCATGGTCTTTGACAAATCAATTGACTTCTTAGGGCCTCAATTTCTTCACCTATGAACCAAACTTAAATAGTCTCTAAAGTCCCTCTATGCTTTTATACCCAAAGATTTCACACCTGTATTTTTCAGGCTGGTAGATTGGTAATAAACTGCCAGAAGAACAGAGTGAACCCTACATAGCTTTGCCCAGTGGTTAAATAGCAACTGTAGATATGATAGAGATGTTAAAGTTGTTGGGACAATGGATAATACTATGAAGCATTATTTACTGAAACACAAAAATAAGTTACATAAATCATAAAGGCTGTAAAAGGAGGAAGATGAGATATAAATGAGGCAAGGTTATCAAGTGAAACCTCAAGTCTTTCATTGAGCCATAAAGAGTAAGTTAGTTGAATTTGTATAGATACAGAGGAGAAAAGAACATTATATAAAATTTATTATAGGATAATTTTTTACCATAGGATGCATCTGAAGACAATATTCTACAGGAGCTAGTAAGGTTTTATTTACAATTCTATTAAACCAAGAACTTTATTACCTTAGCTCCTCAGTGAGATATATCCTGAGAAGTAAAAAAATAAAATAAAATAATAAAATAGAAATTTGGCCTCAATTTTTATTTCATTAACTCCATGACACAATAGATTTTATTGAACTTCAGGTCAATATAATATTTTTCTTTGTTTTGTGGAGAAATAAAGTCATATCTTTTGGTGATTTTTAATAGGATTGCCCTTTAGTTACAAATTATGATAAAATATATAAACCAAACTACTTTTACCACCTATTTAACTTAAAGAGTTGCTAATAACAATATAGCACATTTTCTAGCACAGTTAGATACTCAACCATTGGTTGCTGTTAATATTTTTTACATCAGGAAATTTCTTATACATATAAAAACCATTAATTTTATGGTAGCTCTTTATTGGTATCCACAGAAGCTAGTAAGGTGATTGCTTTCATGACATTGGTCAGTATACATAAAACTCTAATATAATTTTTCAATACAGGACTGGAACCATATCTTGGAATGTTTTGTATACACAGCTAAAGCTTTTACATGTCCTGATAGACTGTGTGGTACTGCTTAAGCAATTGAGCAGAGAGTAGTATGATTAACTTTGTTTTCAAGATTATGTGTCAACTATAGAAAGGATGAATTGGTGAGTGGTGAGCTTAAGAGTTGGGAGTATAAGACAAATTTAGGAGAATACTGCCCATGGGAAAACTTATGCTACTTTTCTTTTAAACAATCACATTTTACTCTCAAAACAACTACAAGTAGTGAATATGATTTATGTCATTTTAAAGAGAAGATCGGAGAAATCAAGTAAATTGCCTAAGATAACACAGCTCTAAAAATGGTATAACTGGAATTGAAAGCCAGGTGTCTCCTACCAAGGCTCAGTCTATTTCCATTATCCTAAAATGGCAATTAAGTGTTAGAGCTGAGTATAATTGCTAAAGTTCTTATCTGATTTGGTTAATTGAATGGCATTAAGAATAAGAACAGGTTTTGAGAGATAATAATGAGTTACATTTGGGGCTTGCTGGGTGTATTGGGGTCCCTGGAACACTTGCATGAGTGATTAAAAGAGTTTAATGAATATAGTACTTTTAAAGGTTTGCAGGGTTATGGTGGAGCCCCAAGAGCTAGCCAAAGTAGGAAGCCTTTATCACTCCTATGCCTGAAGAGGCAAGAGAATAGAATGGTTTAGACATCCAGAAAGCCTTATAGCTTTAGGGAAGAGATGTCCAATCAGAACATCTGAAGGTCATGTCCTTCAGTAGGGGACCACAACCACCAACCAACACTCTGTAAAATGATGTATGTAAAATTCTCAGTGAGCCTGGGAGGAAACTAGAGAATAGATGCCCAGATCTCTCTCTTTGTCTTACTGTATTATCTCTGGATGTTGCTCTTATAGGCCAAAACAGCCCACATTCAGAGGACATGGGGCTTGATTAATGTAACCCATAAGGGTCGGGGTGGAGAGGGACCTGGAGAGAACATGGAGACCACATGTCAGGCAGGATGCTGAGCTTGATCCACATAAGTGGTAATCTGCAGTGGACAACTGAATATATGAGTCAGGAGTTTACAAATGAGGGAGATATAGATATTGAAGTCATAAGTTAGCCCTGGCACAGCATTTCTTGGAATATGTTATGAGAAACTCTAGTTCTATGATATTATTTGTTAAAAACAGTTTTCATGACAAAACACTTTTGGGCAGCTTAATATATTATATTTTTTCTTTTGCATTTACAATGCACACACACATATATCAAAGGATCCAAAAATTCTGTATGTTAAGGAAATCTGTTTAACTTTTTTAAACCAGTGTTCCCCTTTTTTTTTAATCACAGAAATATTTCTATTTCTGATAATACTCATCAATTTCCTAAAGAGCAAATGATCTCAAAAACACTGTCATACAAAGGTTAGCTTCAAACATAACTAAAGAGCAGGTCAGCCATGAATCTGAGGCTGTTTAGAACACAGCATAGACCCAAGAAAGGAAATGTAGAACACATTGATTTAGTCAGCATTCTCCAGAGAAACAAAACCAGTAGGAGACATCTATCTCTCTATCTATTTATTGAGAAAATATTATTTATGTTAAAGGATTGGCTGATGCAGCTGCAGGGGCTAGTAAGTCCAAAATCTGCAGGGCATGCAGGCAGTCTGAGGGCCCAGGGAATAGTTTGTTTTGCAGTCTTGAGTCTGAAGGCAGTCTGAAAGAAGACTTCCTTCCTCCTTGGGGGACTTCAGTCTTTTCTCTTTAAGGCCTTCAACTGATTAGACAAGGCCCATCCCACATTACAGAGGGTAATCTGCTTTATTCAAAGTCTATGATTTAAATGTGAATTACATCTAAAAACTACCTTTGTAGAAACATCTAGACTTATCTTTGATCAAATAAGTGTTACCAAAGCCTACCCGAATTGATGCATAAAATTAGCTATCACAAATATCATTAGAATACAAACTGATAAAGCCAAAGATGAGAGAATATGAAAGAGAAAAGGGTATAACAGGCCCCAGTGCTCCAGAGAGATGGATAACACAAAGACTGGCCAGGAAAATTTACATTTGTCAATTAGAAAATTATGCTCATCTACTCTTGACTCTAAATTTTCTCTCTGCTACATATAAATGAGGATGCAGTAGTCATGAGTTTGAACTAAAGGATCAACTGTAAGATTTTTATTAGTTCCCTTAATCTCTGAAAGACTGGGTTTCCTCATCTGCCAGATGATATTTACTAGTAGGATTTAGTAGTGCTTTCGGAAGAAAAAAGAATTTTGGAGAGAAAGCTGTGATGGCGGAGGCTTGGGAAACTAGATTACGAATGGAATCTTTAGAATATTTTGTTTTGGATCATATGATGTTGACTATTTGAGATATTTCAATAAAGATTTAAACATATTTTCAATTTTTTCTTAGAATTTTAGACTCTTGTTTTTTATTTTTTTAACTGAAACACTGTACTAGGGCTTGGCCTGAGGTAACATAGGTATCTTTCAGTTAATATGTTAAAACAAGTATAATTCAGCTTAGTGTCATGGAAAAGTAGGTAAGTATTAATAACTGTTGAGTAAATTTTCTTAAAAACACAAAAACAAATAGGTGACAAAGCATCAAAAGAAAAAAAAAGGAAAATGAAAAGGGAAAGAAATGAGAGTTCCCCATGAATTATGAGCTATAAATATATTTTAATAGACAAGAAACTTGTATCTCTAAACTTACAACTTTCTTCTTTTGTTATATTGGTTTTGATTTCCTGTTATTGATTATTAAAAAGACCTTTTGTGAAAACAATTAACTTTTTCTCACTGTCCTATCCATAAGAGGAAGCAGTTTTGTTTTTCTTACCCTCTACAGCTGCCAAGATAGATAGGGGCATCTGTCTGTCTTGACTGTTCAGTATCAAGAGGTATTTACTCTGAAGACCAGGAATGTTCCCCCATGATGCGGGAAACAGGAAAAGGGCCTTCTGTTGAGATCAGGGCCAGTTTCCTGCTTCACAGCCCTTTCCTAACTGTTAATGCTAGTATAAAAGAAATGGTTTTTTACTTGCATTTTGACTTGTAAAAGACCAAAGAAGAAGGATGACACAGTTTGTGAATTTGAGCGAATTTGATCTAATCTCTTTCTTGTTATGGAATTCTAAGTGAAACTTCCTTGTGTCAGCAAATTTTCTCATAAAACATTTTATAAAAAAGAATGTTTCCTCCAATGCTCTTGCTTACAAGTACCAATTTTTCCTTATAAAACATTTGTTTGCGATCTGGTCTGTTTGACATAAATATTTCTTCCTATTATACCAGCTTGTTACAATTCCAAATGGCGTCATCCTTTCCCTCTCTAGAATGAGTGAGAAAAGTGGCTGCATCTTCAAGACCAAGTGTATTTTACATAGATGGAGTAAACAGTCTTGGAAATTGCTCATTTAATAAAGGATAAGGAATGCTGTAATCCCCAACACTTTGGGAGGCCAAGGTGGGTGGATCGCTTCAGCTCAGGAGTTAGAGACCAGCCTGGGCAACATGGCGAAACCCTATCTCTACAAAAAATATAAAAATTAGCCGGGCATGGAGGCATATGCCTGTAGTCCCAGCTACTCAGGAAGATGAGGTGGGAGGATCACTTGAGCCTGGGAAACAGAGGTTGCAGTGAGCCGAGATCCCACGACTGCACTCTAGCCTGGGTAACAAAGTGAGGCCCTGTCTCAAAAAAAGAAAAAAAAAATGCCTGCTTCAATTAAATGAGAATTTTATATAAAAACATTTGTAATTTACTAGAATAAAACTTATATTAAGAAGTAGAAGACATAATGTGTTACTAGTTTGTTTTAATCCATAAGAGACGGTAAAATCTCTCATGTAGTGCATCAGTTCAAATAAGCCTGAACTCAGCATATTGAAATGATTACAACTTAAAAAGTTGTGGTCTTTATATGGGCACTTGCTTCTATTTTAAGAATGGATATCCATTAGGCAAATTTAAAAAATTGAAAGGCTTCATTTGAAAATCAGACTTACACATGTGTCCCATATACTAGTAATTTTTTATTTTAAAGTCAAATCATATTTTAAAATAGCTATTGGGTCTTATTAATTTATTTAATAAATCAAGTCCAAAACTGTTATAAAAATAGCAGTATCTTTGAAATAGTACTTTAAGGTAATGTATGTTTTGGTTTTGAGTTGCAACCAACTTTTTCTTGTACTGATAATTTAGTCATGAAAAGAAAAAGCTCAATTTTCTAACGTTTCTAGGCATCCTTGACATTTTAAATGTAATGAAATATTCTTGCAATCCATTTCCAATTACAGAAAAATGTAGAAAAACATATAGATAAAATATGGAAACAGTAATTTTATGTAAGTAACATGATATTGTAAATGAAAAGTTGTTAGAAAAGAAACTTATATTTATGTTTTCTTTACTATTTCTACAAGACACTTTAGGAAAGCTTACAATAAAACATCTTGAGTAAGCAATGATTCTGCATAAAAATTTAAAAGAGTTTTTTAGGAATTTCCAAAAGTCAGCAACACCAAACAAACAAACAAAAGCATTTGTAATTTATGGAGTTATCTAAAGAGATAAGTGCATGTGAATTGAGCTTCTCCTCTGAGTCCAAGTCAGTAAACTTTGAGCATTTGCCTTCTGAAATGCAAAAGCACTGAGTGGAAAAATAAAATATAGCATCTCCTTTTCCTTCTCCCGTCTCGCTCCTCTTTTCTTCTCTCTTTGTTTCTCTAACACACACAGACACACACACACACACACACACACACACACACAGTGGTTGCCTTTTTTGTTTCACTCTATATAGAAAGTGAGAAAGAACAGACATGGCACCCCTCAGCTATATAAACACAACCCATTTTAAATAAATGCAATCACTCATGTAAAAAGCTTTATCATTTTCAAAAGGTTTGGGAGAAATCTACCTTATCCATTTTAAATGCTAAGTTTAATTAACATAGAAACATTTTTGCAATTTGAAATGTATTGAATAATCTTTCTCGTTACCTTTCCTTTTGCATACTAAATTCAGAAATATGAAAAAAAAATCGTGAAGTCAAATAACTTTGGTTGTGAGACAGTTGAAAGATAAGTTTGGCATTGATGAAGTAAAAGGTGGCACTTCTTTTCTGCCCATGACTCAATCAGCTTGAAAGTTTTTCACAGAGTATATCTATCTCAAGCTTCATTATCCATGTTGCAGGAGAGAAACAGGGTTTGTGATCATCTTTAGATTTAAATTTTGTTCTGTCACTTACATCAGCATTCCTCAACCTTTTTGGCACCAGGAACCTGGTTCCTGGAAGACAATTTTCCCGGGGACAGGGGTGAGAGGAGGGATGGTTTCAGGATGAAACTGTTCCACTTCAGATCATCAGGCATTAGATTCTCATAAGGAGCATGCAACCTAGATCCCTTGCATGTGCAGTTCACAAGAGGGTTTGCTCTCCTATGAGAATCTAATGCAGCTGCTGATCCGACAGGAGGCGGAGCTCAGGCAGTAATGCTCATTTGCACTCTGCTCACCTCCTGCTGTGCACCCTAGTTCCTAACAGGGCACTGACCAATACTGGCTTGCAGCACAGGGGTTGGGGACCCTGACTCATATGACCTGTGAAGTTGGCCACATTCGTCATCTTTCCTGAGCCCATTTCCTCACAGGTTATAAGATGTGTAGACTTTTACCTGAGAATGAAGTATATTCTAGTGCATACAAGCTCATGTGCTTTATTCTAATAGTATAATTTCTTATTGTCTTGAAATTACTGTGGTTCCAACCCAAACTAAAACATATTTTTTTACCTTGTTTGACCATGTAAAATAAAGTGATTATTAAAATCCTTTCATCACACCTTTCGGAGGCTCAAAGGGAAAAAGGTAGTATGATATCATTTTTTAACATTTTTCCGTCAGTTATTGAGTACAGGTGGTATTTGGTTACATGAGTAAATTTTTTAGTGGTGATTTGTGAGATTTTGGTGCACCCATCATCCGAGAAGTATACACTGCACCGTATTTGTAGTCTTTTGTCCCTCGTCCCCCTCCCACTCTTCCCCCAAGTCCGCAAAGTTCATTGTATCATTCTTATGTCTTTGTGTCCTTATAGCTTAGCTCCCACAAATTAGTGAGAACACCCGATGTTTGGTTTTCCATTCCTGAGTTACTTCACTTAGAATAATAGTCTCCAATCTCATCCAGGTCACTGCAAATGCTGTTAATTCATTCCTTTTTATGGCTGAGTTGTATTCCATCATGTATATATATACATACACACACACACACACACACACACCACAGTTTCTTTATCCACTCATTGACTGATGGGCATTTGGTTTGGTTTCACAATTTTGTAATTGTGAATTGTGCTGCTATAAACATGCGTGTTCAATCTTTTTCAAATAATGGCTTCTTTTCCTTTGGGTAGATACTCAGTAGTGGGATTGCTGGATCAAATGGTAGTTCTACTTTTAGTTCTTCAAAGAATCTCCACACTGTTTTCCATAGTGGCTGTACTAGTTTACATCCCCACCAGCAGTGTAGAAGTGTTCCCTAATCACCACATACATGCCACTACTGTTTTTTTATTTTTTTTATTATGGCCATTCTTGCAGGAGTAAGGTGGTGTTTCATTGTGGTTTTGATTTGCATTTCCTTGATCATTAGTGATGTTGAGCATTTTTTCATATTTTTGTTGGCCATTTGTATATCTTCTTTTGAGAATTGTCTATTCATGTCCTTAGCCCACTTTTTGATGAGATTGTCTGTTTTTTTTCTTACTGTCTTGTTTGAGTTTGTTGTAGATTCTGGATATTAGTCCTTTGTCAGATGTATAGATTGTGAAGATTTTCTCCCACTCTGTGGGTTGTCTGTTTACTCTGCCAACTGTTCCTTTTGCTGTGCAAAAGCTCTTTAGTTTAATTAGGTCCCAGCTATTTATCTTTGTTTTTATTGCATTTGCTTTTGGGTTATTGGTCATGAAATCTTTGCCTAAGGCAATGAATGTCTAGAAGGGTTTTTCCAATGTTATCTTCTAGAATTTTTATAGTTTCATGTCTTAGGTTTAAATCCTTTATCCATCTTGGGTTGATTTCTGTATAAGGTGAGAGATGAAGATCCAGTTTCATTCTCCTACATGTGGCTAGCCAATTATCCCAGCACCATTTGTTGAAAAGGGTGTCCTTTCCCTACTTTATGTTTTTGTTTGCTTTTTCGAAGATCAGTTGGCTGTAAGTATTCGGGTTTATTTATGGGTTCTCTATTTTGTTCCATTGATCTATGTGCCTATTTTTATAACAGTACCATGATATTTTGGTGACTATGGCCTTATAGTATAGTTGGAAATCAGGTAGTGTGATGCGTCCAGATTTGTACTTTTTGCTTAGTCTTGTTTTGGTTATGTGGGCTCTTTTGTGGTTCCATATGAATTTTAGAATTGTTTTTTCTAACTCTGCGAAGAATTACGGTGGTATTTTGTTGGGGATTGCATTGAATTTGCAGATTGCTTTTGGCAGTATGGTCATTTTCCCAAGATTGATTATATCCATCCATAAGCGTGGGATGTGTTTCCATTTGTTTGTGTTGTCTATAATTGCTTTCAGCAGTGTTTTGTAGTTTTCCTTGTAGAGGTCTTTCGACTCCTTGGTTAGGCATATTCCTAACTATCTTACGTTTTTTTTTTGCAACTATTGTAAAAGGAATTGAGCTCTTGATTTAATTTTCTGCTTGGTTGTTGCTGATGTATAGAAGAACTGCTGATATGTGTACATTAATCTTGTATCTGGAAACTGTGCTGAATTATTTTATCAGTTCTAGGAGCTTTCTAGAGGAGTCTTTAGGTTTTTCAAGGTAAAAGATCATATCGTCAGCAAATAGTGACAGTTTGACTTCCTCTTTCCCGATCTGAATGCTCTTTATTTCTTTCTCTTGTCTAATTGCTCTGGCTAGGACTTCTAGTACTATGTTGAAGAGAAGTGGTGAGAGTGGACATCCTTGTCTTGTTCCAGCTCTCAGAGGGAATGCTTTCAACTTTTACCCATTCAATATATGTTGGCTGTGGGTTTTTCATGGAAAGCTTTTATTACATTAAGGTATGTCCCTTGAATGCTGATTTTGCTGAGAGTTTTAATCACAAAGTGATGCTGGATTTTGTCTCATGCTTTTTCTGCATCAATTGAGATGATCATATGATTTTCGTTTTTAATTCTGTTTATGTGGTGTATTGAATTTATTGACTTGCATATGTTAAACCATCCCTTCATCCCTGGTATGAAACCCACTTGATCATGGTGGATTATCTTTTTGATATGTTATTGGATTCCGTTAGCTAGTATTTTGTTAAGGATTTTAACATTTATGTTCATCAAGGATATTGGTCTGTAGTTTTCATTTTTCATTATGTCCTTTCCTGATTTTGGTATTCAGGTAATACTGACTTCATAAAATGAATTGGGGAGAATTCCTTATTTCTCTATCTTGTGGAATAGTGTCAAAAGTATTGGCACCAATTCTTCTTGGAATGTCTGGTAGAATTCTGTGAATCCAACTGGTCCTGGACTTTTTTTTGTTGGTAATTTTTAAATTATGATTTCAGTCTTGCTGCTTGTTATTGGTCTGCTTAGGGTATCTAATTCTTCCTGATTTAAACTAGGAGGGATGTATTTTTCTAGGAATTTATCCATCTCTTCTAGGTTTTTAGTTTATGTGGGTAAAGGTGTTCATAATAGCCTTGAGTGATCTTTTTTATTTCAGTGGTGTCAATTGTAATGTCTCCTGTTTCATTTCTTAGTGAAGTTATTTGTATTTTCTCTCTTCTCTTCTTGGTTAATCTTGCTAATGGTCTATCAATTTTATTTATCTTTTCAAAGAACCAGCTTTTTATTTCATTTATCTTTTGTATTTTTTTGTTGTTGTTTCAATTTTATTTATTTCTGCTCTGATCTTGGTTATTTCTTTCTTCTGCTGGGTTTGGGTTTGGTTTGCTCTTGTTTCTCTAGTTCTATGAGGTGTGACCTTAGAAGTCAATTTTTGCTTTTTTAGTCTTTTTGATGTAGGCATTTAGGGCCATGAACTTTCCTCTCAGCACTGCCTTTGCTGAATCCCAGAGGTTTTGGTAGGTTGGTTATTATTGTCATTCAGTTCAAATAATTTTTAAATTTCCTTCTTGATTTTGTTTTTGAGCCAGTGCTCATTTGGGAGCAGGTTATTTAATTTCCATGTATTTGCATGGTTTTGAAGATTCCTTTTGCAGTTGATTTCCAGTTTTATTCCACTGTGGTCTGAGAGAGTGCTTGATATAATTTCAGTTTTCTTAAATTTATTGAGGCTCATTTTATGGCCTACCATATGATCTATCTTGGAGAAAGTTCCGTGCACTATTGAATAGAATGTGTATTCTGTGGTTGTTGGATGAAATGTTCTGTATATATCTGTTAAGTCCAGTTGTTCCAAGATATAGTTTAAATCCATTGTTTCTTTGTTGATTTTCTGTCTTGATGATCAGTTTAGTGCTGTCAGTGGAGTATTAAAGTCCCCCACTATTTTTGTGTTGCTATCTATCTAATTTCTTAGGTCTGTTAGTAATTGTTTTATAACTTTGGGAGCTCCAGTGTTAGGTGCATATATATTTAGGATTGCAATATTTTCCTGTTGGACAAGACCTTTTACCATTATATAATGTCCCTCTTTGTCTCTTTTTACTGCTGTTGGTTTAAGGTTTTTCTTGTCTGTTTTTCTTGTCTGATATAAGAATAGCTACCTCTGCTTGCTTTTGGTGTCTGTTTGCATGAAATGCCTTTTTCTACCCCTTTCCTTTAAGTTTATGTGTGTCCTTAAGTCTTAGGTGAGTCTCCTAAAGGCAGCAGATAGTTGGTTGGTGATTTCTTAGCCATTCTGTGGTTCTGTATCTTTTAAGTGGAGCATTTAGGCCGTTTACATTCAATGTTAGTATTGAAATGGGAGGCACCATTGCATTCATTGTGCTCTTTGTTGCCTGTGTACTTTGGTTATTTTGTTTTTGCTTTTCAACTTCTATTTTTGTCTTATAGGGCCTATGTGATTTATGCTTTAAAGAGGTTCTGTTTTGATGTGTTTCCAGGATTTGTTTCAAGATTTAGAGCTCCTTTTAGCAGTTCTTGTACTGGTGGCTTGGTAATGGCGAATTCTCTCAGTATTTGTTTGTCTGAAAAAGACTTCATCTTTCCTTCATATATGATGCTTAGTTTCACTGGATACAAAATTCTTGGCTGATGATTGTTCTGTTTGAGGAGGCTGAAGATAGGGCCCCAATCCCTTCTGGCTTGTAAGGTTTCTGCTCAGAAATCTGTTGTTAATCTGATAGGTTTTTCCTTTAGAGGTTACCTGGTGCTTCTCTCACAGCTCTTAAGATTGTTTCCTTCATCTTAACTTTGGATAACCTGATGACAATGTGCCTAGGTGATGATCTTTTTGCAATGAATTTCCCAGGTGTTCTTTGTGCTTCTTGTATTTGGATGTCTAAGTCTCTAGCAAGGCTGGAGTAGTTTTCCTTGATTATTCCCCCAAATATGTTTTACAAGATTTTAGAATTCTCTTATTCCTCAGGAAAACCGATTATTCTTAGATTTGGTCATTTAACATAATCCCAGACTTCTTGGAAGCTTTGTTCATATTTTCTTATTCACTGTTCTTTGTCTTTATTGGATTGGGTTAATTCAAAGACCTTGTCTTAGAGCTCTGAATTTCTTTCTTTTAATTGTTCGATTCTATTGCTGAGATTTTCCAGAGCATTTCACATTTCTAAAAGTGTGTCCAAAGTTTCCTGAATTGTTGATTTTTTTTAATCGATCTATTTCCTTGAATATTTCTCCCTTCACTTCTTGTATTGTTTTTTGGATTTCCTTGCACTGGGCTTCACCTTTCTCTGGTGCCTCCCTGATTAGCTTAATAACCTAACTCCTGAATTCTTTTTCAGGTAAATCAGAGATTTCTTCTTGGTTTGAATCCTTTGCTGGTGAACTAGTATGATTTTTGGGGTGTGCTGAGAAGCCTTGTTTTGTCATATTACCAGCGTTGGTTTTCTGGTTCCTTCTCATTTGGGTAGGCTCTGTCAGAGTGAAGGTCTAGGGCTGAAGGCTGTTGTTCAGATTCTTTTGTCCCCTAGGGTGTTCTCTTGATGTAGTACTCTCCCCCTTTTCCTATGGATGTGGCTTCCTGTGAGCCAAACTGCAGTGATTGTTGTCTCTCTTCTGGGTCTAGCCACCCAGCGCGTCTACCCGGCTCTGGGCTGGTACTGGGGTTGTCTGCACAGAGTCCTGTTATGTGAACCATCTGTGGGTCTCTCAGCCACGAATACCAGTGCCTATTCTGGTGGAGGTGGCAGGGGAGTGCAATGGACTCTGTGAGGGTTCTTAGCTTTTGTGGTTTAATGCTCTATTATTGTGCTGGTTGGCCTCCTGCACCAAAGTGCAGGAGGTGGTGCTTTCCAGAGAGCATCAGCTGCAGTAGTATGGAGAGGGACCAGTAGTGGGCGTGGCCTTTTGTCTTCTGCTACCTGGGTGGGTAGGGAAGGACCATCAAACGGGGGCAGGGCTAGGAATGTCTGGGCTCAGACTCTCCTTGGGTGGGTCTTGCTGTAGCTGCTGTGGGGGATGGGGGTGAGATTCCCAGGTCACTGGAGTTGTGTAAGTAGGAGGATTATGGCTGTCTCTGCTGAGTCATGCAGGTTGACAGGGAAGTCGGGGAAAGCCAGCAGTCACAGGCCTCACCCAGCTCCCAAGCTAACCAAAGGGCCAGTCTCACTCCCACCATGTCCCCCGCCAACAGCCCAAGTCTGTTTCCAGGTGGAGGGCGAGATGGGCTTGAAAACTTGCCCGAGGCTACCCACCTTCCAGCTGCAAAAGAAAAGGGCTTGGTTCTTCCCCTGCCTGTGGAGTCTGCACACCAGATTTGCACCCTCCCCGGAGTTCTGGCCAGGAGGCTTCTCACCCCATTCAAATTGTTACAAAGTTCAGCTAGAGATTTTCTTCTCCCTGTGGTTTTACCCCCTGCTCTTCTGACCACCCTCCTGATGAATCCCTGTGGTGCCAGGCAGGAATGGCCTGCTAGGGGACCCAGCGAGCTCTCAGTGTCTTTCTGCTGCTTCCTCTGCCCCTGCATTTTGCTCAACTCTCCAAATTGACTCAGCTCCTGATAAAGTTGGAAATTTCTCCTGCAAACAGCCCATCATTTTCTACAGTGGGGGTGTGTATTCGGGAGAAGAGGGTCTCCCTTTCCCACTTCCACAGTTGGGGCACTCTCGGTATTTGAGGTGACTCCCAGGTCCTGCAGAAGCAGTCTGCTTCCTTCAGAGGGTCTGTGGGTCCTCTTGGGATTGCTGATTTGTTCTTGCAGTTGATCTGGAGCTAACATTCACAACGACCTTTTTTTTTTTTTTTTGAAACTGATCTCACTCTGTGGCCCAGACTAGAGTGCAGTGGCCACAATCTTGGGTCACTGCCTGTAGTATGGTATCTTGAAGAAGTTTGAATTTAAACAGATAAGACCTAGAGTCCTTTACAACATTTATTTCATGAATGATATAGCTTCACTGAGTTCTCAACTGCATCTGCAAGACATGAGCTATGACTGTACCTCAGTTCCTTCAGCTGGCATTTATAATAACACGTGCTATCCAGAGTTCATGCTGGGCCCCACAGGCCCTTTTAGATTCAGTCTGAGGTTACAACCCCCAGGAGTAGCTTTCCACTCCACTCAGCCATGGGGAGTTGCATGTCTCTCTTGATTCCCACATGCTTCACGTCTACTGTTTCTCAAAGTCCTTATTGTAATTATGAACTTTCTTACTTACTGCTGTCACACCTAGTATTACTGGAAGGAGGTTTTTAAAACTCCAAACACAGGCAAAGGGTTTTGGCATAAGACTAGATAAGCATTTGTTGATTTATGTGAATAAATTGTATGACTAAAGGTCTCGGGTAGTCACTGGAAAGTGCTGTAGAATTGCTGCTTGTTAGTTGTTTGTTGTTAACAGTTGATAATGAGAAGAGCAGACTTCTGAGAATAATTCAGCTATCACTAAAGAAAAGTCAAGGCAAAAAAAAAAATGGATTCAGAGCCTGAAAGGCCAGCTTAGTTATGCCACATAACTCAAGTGAAGTCCTTAATTTAAAAAGCTTTTCTGTCATAGCAACCTAATTACAATGTGAAGGGAGGTACTCTTACCATGTTGCTATAAAGTTGCGTGCCTTCCAGAGTCCCAAATAAAATTCCGAGGAAATTTTTGGAAAAAAAAAATAGAAGAAGAATATTTGTTCTGAATTATTTTTTTCCCTAAGTCTTCTCCCTTTCAATTTGATCACAAAATCCAATGAGACACTTGACCACCTAGCAACAGCCAAAGTTTTTCTTAAACCATCACTCAGAATTGTATAACTTCTCTGCTTAAACCTCTCACTGGCTTCCTATGTTACTCACAGGGAAATGGAAAATTCATACCAGTAAAAAGATTCTAGGAGATCTGCCCTACTACATCTTGGCTGCAGCACTCAACACTCCCCTCCTGAGTCCTCTACTCTGGCCTCACTAGGCCTAGCTCTTCTTTTTTTTTTTTTTTTTTTTTTTTTGAGATGGAATCTGGCTCTGTTGCCCAGACTGGAGTGCAGTGGCACAATCTCAGCTCACTGCAAGCTCCACCTCCTGGGTTCACGCCGTTCTTCTGCTTCAGCCTCCGGAGCAGCTGGGGCTACAGGTGCCCACCACCACGCCACCTGGCTAATTTTTTCTTTTTAGGTAATTCATTTATTTATTTATTTTCTTTTATTATTATACTTTAAGTTTTAGGGTACACGTGCACATTGTGCAGGTTAGTTACATATGTACACATGTGCCACGCTGGTGCGCTGCACCCACTAACTTGTCATCTAGCATTAGGTATATCTCCCAATGCTATCCCTCCCCACTCCCCCCACCCCACAACAGTCCCCAGAGTGTGATATTCCCCTTCCTGTGTCCATGTGATCTCATTGTTCAATTCCCACCTATGAGTGAGAATATGCGGTGTTTGGTTTTTTGTTCTTGTGATAGTTTACTGAGAATGATGATTTCCAATTTCATCCATGTCCCTACAAAGAACATGAACTCATCATTTTTTATGGCTTCATAGTATTCCATGGAGTATATGTGCCACATTTTCTTAATCCGGTCTATCATTGTTGGACATTTGGGTTGGTTCCAAGTCTTTGCTATCGTGAATAATGCCGCAATAAACATACGTGTGCATGTGTCTTTATAGCAGCATGATTTATAGTCCTTTGGGTATATATCCAGTAATGGGATGGCTGGGTCAAATGGTATTTCTAGTTCTAGATCCCTGAGGAATCGCCACACTGACTTCCACAATGGTTGAACTAGTTTACAGTCCCACCAACAGTGTAAAAGTGTTCCTATTTCTCCACATCCTCTCCAGCACCTGTTGTTTCCTGACTTTTTAATGATTGCCATTCTAACTGGTGTGAGATGGTATCTCATTGTGGTTTTGATTTGCATTTCTCTGATGGCCAGTGATGGTGAGCATTTTTTCATGTGTTTTTTGGCTGCATAAATGTCTTCTTTTGAGAAGTGTCTGTTCATGTCCTTTGCCCACTTTTTGATGGGGTTGTTTGTTTTTTTCTTGTAAATTTGTTTGAGTTCATTGTAGATTCTGGATATTAGCCCTTTGTCAGATGAGTAGGTTGCGAAAATTTTCTCCCATTTTGTAGTTGCCTGTTCACTCTGATGGTAGTTTCTTTTGCTGTGCAGAAGCTCTTTAGTTTAATTAGATCCCATTTGTCAATTTTGTCTTTTGTTGCCATTGCTTTTGGTGTTTTAGACATGAAGTCCTTGCCCATGCCTATGTCCTGAATGGTAATGCCTAGGTTTTCTTCTAGGGTTTTTATGGTTTTAGGTCTAACATACACTCTCCCAAGACTAAACCAGGAAGAAGTTGAATCTCTGAATAGACCAATAACAGGATCTGAAATTGTGGCAGTAATCAATAGCTTACCAACCAAAAAGAGTCCAGGACCAGATGGATTCACAGCCAAATTCTACCAGAGGTACAAGGAGGAACTGGTACCATTCCTTCTGAAACTATTCCAATCAATAGAAAAAGAGGGAATCCTCCCCAACTCATTTTATGAGGCCAGCATCATTCTGATACCAAAGCCTGGCAGAGACACAACCAAAAAAGAGAATTTTAGACCAATATCCTTGATGAACATTGATGGAAAAATCCTCAATAAAATACTGGCAAAACAAATCCATCAGCACATCAAAAAGCTTATCCACCATGATCAAGTGGGCTTCATCCCTGGAATGCAAGGCTGGTTCAACATACGCAAATCAATAAATGTAATCCAGCATATAAACAGAGCCAAAGACAAAAACCACATAATTATCTCAATAGATGCAGAAAAGGCCTTTGACAAATTCAACAACCCTTCTTGCTAAAAACTCTCAATAAATTAGGTATTGATGGGCCGTATTTCAAAATAATAAGAGCTATCTATGACAAACCCACAGCCAATATCATACTGAATGGGCAAAAACTGGAAGCATTCCCTTTGAAAACTGGCACAAGACAGGGATGCCCTCTCTCACCACTCCTATTCAACATAGTGTTGGAAGTTCTGGCCAGGGCAATTAGGCAGGAGAAGGAAATAAATGGTATTCAATTAGGAAAAGAGGAAGTCAAATTGTCCCTCTTTGCAGACGACATGATTGTATATCTAGAAAACCCCATTGTCTCAGCCCAAAATCTCCTTAAGCTGATAAGCAACTTCAGCAAAGTCTCAGGATACAAAATCAATGTACAAAAATCACAAGCATTCTTATACACCAACAACAGACAAACAGAGAGCCAAATCATGAGTGAACTCCCATTCACAATTGCTTCAAAGAGAATAAAATACCTAGGAATCCAACTTACAAGGGATGTGAAGGACCTCTTCAAGGAGAACTACAAACCACTGCTCAATGAAATAAAAGAGGATACAAACAAATGGAAGAACATTCCATGCTCATGGGCAGGAAGAATCAATATCATGAAAATGGCCATACTGCCCAAGGTAATTTACAGATTCAATGCCATCCCCATCAAGCTACCAATGACTTTCTTCACAGAATTGGAAAAAACTACTTTAAAGTTCATATGGGACCAAAAAAGAGCCTACATCGCCAAGTCAATCCTAAGCCAAAAGAACAAAGCTGGAGGCATCACACTACCTGACTTCAAACTATACTACAAGGCTACAGTAACCAAAACAGCATGGTACTGGTACCAAAACAGAGATATAGATCAATAGAACAGAACAGAGCCCTCAGAAATAACGCCGCATATCTATAACTATCTGATCTTTGACAAACCTGAGAAAAACAAGCAATGGGGAAAGGATTCCCTATTTAATAAATGGTGCTGGGAAAACTGGCTAGCCATATGTAGAAAGCTGAAACTAGATGCCTTCCTTACACCTTATACAAAAATCAATTCAAGATGGATTAAAGACTTAAACGTTTGACCCCTGGCTAATTTTTTGTATTTTTAGTCGTGACGGGATTTCCCCTTGTTAGCCAGGATGGTCTCGATCTCCTGACCTCGTGATCCACCTGCCTCAGCCTCCCAAAGTGCTGAGATTACAGGTGTGAGCCACCGTGCCCAGCCAGGCCTGGCTCTTCTTTGAATTTATCTAGCCTGCTGTCATTTCAGGATCTCTGCAGGTATTTTTCCTCTGCTGAAAAGTCTTCTCCCTAATAGCCCAAAGCTCTTCCACTTTTTTCAATAATCTTTCCAATTGCCCATTCAGAAAGGTTTACCCTGATCCACCTTTTAAAAACCAAGCCACCTCCTATGGTCTCAGGCTTTAATTTTCAAAACAAAGCTTTCTTTTTTTTTTTCCTAATCTTTATCATCACTTGTCCAAAAAAATATATATAATATGTATATGTATATATATATTATATACATACATATTCATTTTAAGCCTCTAAAATGGACTTTTCTCTTGCTTTAAACAATTTTAAGCCATATCAAAACCAGACAACATGCCATCGATATTTGCAACTCTTTTTAGGTTACCCATTCCCAGGAAAA
The DNA here is from genome assembly GCF_000001405.40 of Homo sapiens. NCBI lineage: Eukaryota > Metazoa > Chordata > Mammalia > Primates > Hominidae > Homo > Homo sapiens. The sequence goes on along the minus strand of NC_000006.12, from coordinate 123,443,081 downwards.
TTAGAAAATAAATGCAAGATGATGCATATTTCACTTGGTAAATAAGGAATAAACAGGTGAAAGGGGACTCAAACACATTCTACTCATTTCTCTGCCTTTTATGGTTGAAGACAGAAGATACAACATTCATCTATAGTTGCATAAGGTAATGACTACTAATTATAGCAAAATTGAGACTTGAATCCACTTCATTGCAGTACAGTACCCTTCATAACATGTTTCTGTCTTGCTTATGGGTATTTTTTTCCCTTTAGTTTCTTAATACAAAATATTCTAGACATACCCTCCCTGGATATAGAAAAATAAGAATAAAGTTGCATTTACTCAAAGAGATCAGTAAATGTCACACCTAAAAAATTACCTAAAAAGATTATATGTGGTCAGATTTTTATTATTTGTAAAATATAGTAATAGCTTGTCATTATTATCATTATTTTTCTACATCTACTCTGTTCCAGGCATTTTAGCCCAGTTATCTCCATTTCTCACAAGTAAGCAAGGTAGACTTTTTTTTTTTTTCTTTTTTTTTTTTTTTTGAGACGGAGTCTCGCTCTGTGGCCCAGGCGGGAGTGCAGTGGCGCAATCTCGGCTCACTGCAAGCTCCGCCTCCAGGGTTCACGCCATTCTCCTGCCTCAGCCTCCCGAGTAGCTGGGACTACAGGCGCCCACCATCACGCCCGGCTAATTTTTTTTTGTATTTTTAGTAGAGACGGGGTTTCACCGTGTTAGCCAGGATGGTCTCGATCCCCTGACCTCGTGATCCGCCCGCCTCGGCCTCCCAAAGTGCTGGGATTACAAGCGTGAGGTAGATTTTATTAGCTCCACTTTTCAAATGAGGAAAATGAAATTCGGTGTGCCATAGCACATTGCCCAAGGTCACACAACTAGGAAGAGTCATGGACAGAATTCAGCCCAAGGTCATCAGTGCCAGCACCTGTGCTTTCTCTCGTGCTCCACACCCCTCTGTAGATAACAATGGGACAACTCTAATAATCACTCGTGTAATTGAACTTATCTTCAGCTTATGTAAAATTTTCCATGGTCATATTGTGAGCTGGGTTCCAGGCCAATCTCTGCCACTCTAAGAAAACAAGGTGACAGTGATGAGGTATGTTGGAATGCATTGTTATTAAAGAAACAAGTTCTTATTTACTTAACTGGAACCAGGAATACATCAGTTCTGGCCACAGTGTTAGAATAAAAGCACTCATCTGATACACAGAATTAGGATAATCTCTACACTAGAAGGGCAAAGAGGGGAGGAACAAAACATAAGACAAAAATAAAACATTTTGCATTTGTTTCCTCGTGGAAACAGCATCTTAGAAAGCTTTGCAATTGTAATTAAATATTGTGTATTGTCTGGCTTTGAGATGGCATAAAAAACATTTAAAAGCAAGAGAAAAGCCCATTGTGAGGGCTTAGAAAGTAAGAAGTAAGTCGTTTAATTTTTCTTTCATCTGATGTTAATTTATGCAGAAGCTAATAACATATTTGTGGCTCAGAGCTGCTCATTGTAGGGAAGATTTCTTTCCCAACCACACTCTTCTGTGATCCCTGCCAGAATACAGCCATCATTTCAGGGCTTATTATACTTTTGTCAGGGAAAGGTAATATTCTGATACTTTCACATCCTGTAGATACATTTAATTTTTAATCTTCTGAACATCAATGGGCTTAAATGCTCTAATTCTTCTCTAGCTGTTACAAACAAAATGGCAAACCAATGAGAAAGAGATGGAAGAGGAAATTTTTTATGTGTGTTCAAAGTCAGGTAGACAGAAAGGGAAGAGTACTCTTGGCTGTTGAGGAAGAAAAAGTCAGGGGCAAGGAAGTTTTCATAAAAGAAACATGGGTTATTTTTATATCCAAGTAGGATATAATCAAATTGTTATGTTTTTATAAGTGAAAAATTTAATTCCATTGCTACCAAATCACCTATATAACAGAGACAATAGTGCTTGAGGAAATGTAGAATCTTGAGAAGTTGACATTTTAAATGAAATTCAGCATGAATAAAGTAAGTCTCATAATGACAGCTTAAAGGTCTAATTCATAAAAATGTTATTAAAGGACATTAATCTGCATTTTGTGGACTTCTGCTCTTATTCATGACTCTCACAGTGTATGACTGTAATCACAAGCAGAGTGTATAATAGGAGCATTAATTCAATTTGGACGAAGACAAGAATACTGTATCACCACAATAAAATTCCAGCTATATTAATTTGAAGGGTAGAATTTGTTGCACAAGAGCATTGTCTAAAAGAAAATTGAAAAATAAATGAATGCCTTCCATATTCTGGGTTCAAATATCTACTTTCTTTGTGAAGTTCGGTGTAAGATTGACTAATTGGCACAAGCTTTTTAATGAAATATTTATTCATCAACCTTATGAAACTTGGAGACTTGGATACTGAGTTCTGATCTTATGGTTAGTATGGCATTAGTGTTTAGCTTGAGCTTAGAAATATTTACAAGTCATTTGTATTTTAATTAACCCCTTTGCTGATACATGACATCAGAGGTGATGCTTAGCAAATGGCTATTCAATTGTCTGGCATATACATTTATTTAGAGAAGATGTAAAATTCACTACTACATAAAATTTCTCCCAGAGAAGCTGAAAGTAGTGATACTTGAAAGTATCTTCATTCAGAATTTTAAATATGATCTACATGTTTAATATGCATAAACCTTTAGAAAAGAAGAAGTGGAAATCAATTGGTTTATTTCTATCTCTGAAACTATCAAAATTTGACTTCTTGACTTTCTACTTCTGATTGGATGAGCTGTAATAGTATGCTGTAGACACTTTTAGACAAAGTGTGAATACATTTTTCCCTGAGACATTAGATTATCTCTAGAAATCATGAAAGGGGTTCTTTATAAATTATATGTCTAACATTGAAAGAAAGTGTTGTCTTTGATCTTGTAGGTAAAAAAGCTCTATACCTATGGGAATGAGTTAATTCCTCTATTTAATAAGATGCAGTCATTAGTAGACAACTTAAGGATTCATTCTAGAACTACATATTGAATTTCTTTAGCATAATAATGATCTTATAATAGTTCTGGGTAACGGAAGTCTTTGAATGTACCTGTACCTGAGATGAGAGACAACTGACAAAGAGAAAGGAATTTCAAATATAAGGTAAATAGCACTGCTAATTGAAGATAAAAATCAGTACATTTACAACATTAACCGTAGCTATTATTGTCCCAAATCTAAAACCACTGAACATTCAATTTCAACAACTATGTATTAGTACAGGACTTTGTTATCTAAAATGATTATGCTTACCAGAAAAGTGTCCAGGGATGTCCACCTGCTATGTGGCTATGCCTGGGCAGCACGTGAATTCTCTGTCTTTGCTCCCTCAGACCAAGGCTGTCTCAGATTTATGAAACAGGGCTCTTCCACGAAGTTTAGAAGTACCACAAACAGTTTGATGTGGCATCCAGACTTACTGCAACCTCTGGGTGCAAAGATTGAACAGCTTTGTTGATACAACCACTCAGAAAGGACCGTGGAAGTTATGTTTCCAACACACTGCCAGACACTTGTCATCAGGCTTAAATGCCTGTTGGCAAGAGCCAGATATGAAAAACAGCTACATCAAAAGATACCTTTTTAATGGTCTAATATATTATTTCTAATGAAATTAAATGTATAAAAGAAAACAAATATTAATTCTTCTAGTTTATCTGCAGTATATTTTCCAAGAAATATATTTTAATTTTATATATCAATACTTTTAGGCACTAGATAAACAATTGTTTGGTTCAGAAAGTTCAAACTATCACATTCATTATTTGTAAACAGTATTAGCAGTCTACAACGTTACACATTTACTGTGAGCCAGGCACTTTACACAGTGTTTTGTAAACATTAACTTTGAGGGAGGTATTATTATTTGATAAATGAGGAAAATAAGACTTAGTGGGATTAAATTACTTGCTCAGTCACAAAGCTAGCTGGAGGCAGAACTGACTTAACAAAAATCCTTCATTTCAACCTTGGTTTTGCTTTCATACTAAATTTCCCTAAAGGAAATATTTTAAATGTATTCTCTAGAAAAAGAAGGGGAAAAGAAGAAGGCTGAGAAGAAAGTTACTTCTGAAACAAAAAAGAAAGGTAGGAAATTTAAAAGCCATGTACCACATAAATCAATTAGTGTCCATGCATAATACTACTGGTAAATCTATTATTTTCTAGGAAAGAAATTCCCTTAATAAATGCATTGTCATTGTTATTAGTGAACACTCTTAACATGTCTAGATATTCCAAATAAAATTAAAATTGTCAATTTTTAAAAAGAGAATTCAATCCTAAACACTTTTTGAAAATTACTACTGTGATTATTTTTTCTTTCTTAAGAGCAGCTGCTTAATTCTCTCTAATTCACTACTTTACTTTAACTATATATGTGAATATGATGGTTACTATTTAACTAATTCAGTCTAATTTTAAAAGTCATTTTATGTAGAGGGCAGAAAATACTTGATTGGTTTGTTTTACACATATATATATATTTTAATTGGTTGTTTTCAAATAATTTATCTGATGTCCCAAGTGAACTTCAGAGATTTCAGAACTTTTGACATGGTTCTGGTGACCTCATAGCTCAGAGAACATTCAATATATTCTTTTCAATATATGTTAGGAAAGCTGTTAAATAATACCATAATTAATAATGCCATTTAATGTTTTCACTGTTATTAAATAATTTTTGCCTTTGGCAAAAAAAAAAAAGTTCTGTTTCCTGAAGAGAAATTATACCTAAGCCACTAGTCTGTTATGAAGGTGCTACCTTATTCATATTTGACATGACTTATGGCTGATTTAAGATTTCTCTATACAAGATAAATTAGATGCCTCACTGGTAGTCATGCATGCCCTGAAATATTTGCAAGTTAAACAGGTAAAGGCTTATAACTTTCTTATTTTACCAGCAGAAAAAGAAGATATCAAAAAGAAAAGTGAGAAGGAAACTGCCATTGATGTGGAAAAAAAAGGTATTGCACTTTCTTTGTTTCCTTAGATGGATTACGTTCAGGATGTTTGCTTCATGAAAGACTCCTCATGCAACATACACAAATTGCACACAGTTACTTATATCTACCCAAGACGTGAAGGTCAAAGCAAAACTTGCACTAGACAAAGTTAAACAGGCAAAGAAGACTTTATTCAAGGCTATTGCAATAGGACAGAGAGACTGGAATTGAGTCTGAACTCAATTCCCCCCCAAAAAAACGCAGGAATGTTTGTAATGGCTGGTATGGGGAATCACAGGACATCTGTTTTTGCATATTGGCTTTTCCCCCTCAAAACGTAAACTTTCAGTCTTATATCTGCATGGTAAGAAGTAGTTTCACAATGTGGAGCGAGGAGTCCAAGGAAGTTAGGCTCCTACTCTTCCACAGAAACTTAGAGATGGGGCACTATCTTTCTTGATGATTACATTTCAAAGGGATGGCTCTCAGTTCCTTGAGAAAGGCTTTATGGGTTGTGAAACTGAAAAGTGGCTTGTAAATGTCCCAGCTACTAGAGTGGCCAAGACAGGAGCATTGCTTGAGCCCAGGAGGTTGAGGCTGTAGTGAGCACCATAATTGCACTACTGCACTCCAGCCTGGGTAGCAGAGGAAGACCCTGTCTCCTCATCCCCCTACAAAAAAAAAAAAAAAAAAAAAAAAAAATCTGTATCTCAATAAAGTAGAGAAAGAATTTACAGTGACAAGTTTTCCAGTTTTCTGAAGTAAATGCTCTAAGAAAAGGGAGATTAGGAGCTGCTGAAGGTCAGAAAGAAACCTATTAAAGTTTAATCAAGGTGAGGACCACCTTGGTCAAGATACAATGAACTTGAGAAGAGATACATAGTAATAACAATACCACATTGCAAAGATAAGAAGCTGAGAAAGAATAATGCACCCTATTAAGAAATAAGGTTATTCAACTATTTGACAGTTTCGATTTTTGCTTTAAATTTTGTTCTGTTTCTATTCTTGTTCAAACATGAATATTGGCTTCGATTCAGGTTAGGCTTAAGTTTACATGGAAAAGACAATCATCTCAAGTATTATGGTTTGGTGATAAGCATTCTCACCTGAAAGATTTCCTCCACTGATGTCAGTGATGCTTAAAATTCTACCATTAGAACCATTCCATTCCTTTGAGTTATGAAGGAATCGTCCCCTATTAAAATGCAGATCTTCTAGGGCTTGTGTATATGGGGTAAAAACCTAATTCCTCTCAGCTATTAAGAACTTAAAGTAAATGAGATTTCCAGATCTTTCCTGTGTAATAGTAAGCTAAAAATTGTACCCCAGAACATGAGGTGGTAGGTAAGCTTAAACGAAGAAGATTGAAAACTTCAGGGTGGGGAACCGTCTGGGGAGGGCAGGCTGGGTTAGACGGCATTTTAGTGAAAATCTTTCCTTTTCTAAGTAGTAATAATGTATGTGGAAAAAATGATGGTGGTGAGGACCCTAAAAAGAAGAGCATACATAGGATGTCAACTATATAAAGATTATGATTAGCAAGCAGCAAATAGAAATGCGTAGAAATATCTGGCATCATGCTATAAATGGGGTAGAAAAAATGTAAAATATTAAGAATTGCATGATTATGTGGCCCATGAAATGAGCAAGAAGGATCAGCCAGACATTCTGTGTGTCCAAGAGTTGATTGCCCATTCCTTTGCATCCAAATTTCCATTATTAAGGCTGTATTATTGTAGTCTATTGTTCTATTAAATATTCACTCATTTTCTTTTAAAACTTTCTTATTTTCTGATGAAATATGTATTTTATCATAAGAAGGGAAAAACAGTTCTGACTCTATGAATCTGAGAAACTGCTTGCTTAGAGCAGTGGATTTGTGAAAATTACATGATTGAGGGGTAAAGATAAACCAAGATACTTCTTCCTTGCCATCAATTTTACTAAAAGAGTTGCAGAAGAAAATTTTGAGTTGTAATTTTCAAGCATTTTTCATATGCACGCAAATGCAAAATCTGAAAACGTGTTTTTGGCAAAACTCAATGGTTTTGTGTGTGTTTGTGTGTGCTCATGCGTATGTGTGTGTGCATGTGTGTTTGGCTTGGTTTTAGCTTTTTGAGGGAAATGATGAAACTTGTTTATGTGCAATGGTTCATGGGAAAATCTGATACTCCCCTGCCACTGGGAGACCTGTGTTATTAGCCCAGCAGTCATGTCAAAGTGAGGTTGTGCACCACTGGCAAGAGAACGGATTATGCCCATATCACTTCCTACAAGGACAGTGCTCAGCCACCGAAGCAGAGACCAAACTGAGTAATTGCTCAGCACATCTAGGCAGGACTATTCAGCTAGTGTTGTCTTTCTTGGAGCCAGTTTTCTGTTTGTATGCTTGTCATTTTTACTTTTGATTACACAAAATTCCATTGATTTTTCCAAATCAGTTCAACTTCCTGATAAAAGATAGGCAGAGTTTATTTGTTTACAATCCCTCAACCCCCAAATACTCAAAACAGTGTGTGCATGTGTGTGTGTGTGTGTTTGTGTTTGTGTGTGTCTGTGTCAGAGAGAGAGAGAGAGAGAGAGACAGAGAGATTGAGTTTCAGTTAGTGCTAGTTTTTAACTCGTTTCTTTTTAGGGTTTAATAATTCTTTATATTTTCATGTGACAGCAATATGGTTTACAAACAGCAGGTTTCAAGCTTATTATGAAAGTAGTAAAATTTTACAGAGATAATGAGAGAAATTGAGAATAACCTGAAATCTTGAAGAGCTGGGGGACAAAGGTCATTTCTTCCTAAAGTAGAGGAACATGGCAGAGCATATGATCTCACTACTGTAGCCCCAAATAGCAAATTTATAAGGCATAAGATATGCCTACATGCTTATTTAATATATGAGTGTTATTGTGATATTTTATTATATTTATGTTAATGTTAATATTATTTATATTATAAAATATATGCATTTAGTTATATGTTATATGTTATATTATTATTTTATTTTATTCCCTTATATTGTATTATTATGCCGACATGACAAACCTAAGGCTTAAACTCTATTCAGTGATAAATGGGCTTCTACCGTATGACACTGGTAAATCACACTTTGCCAGTGATCTCTGGGGAAGTTGTAGGTGGATGGGCTTTATATGATACAAAATTGCCAACCCATTAATTAATAGGGGTTGAAACTGAGCAATTGGTATATTGGGGTTAATTATAACACTCCTTTATTTAGTGTATATTTGAAATCATCCATGGCAAAAAATTAAATAAATACCTGCCAATTAAAAACATTATGTAAAATTAAAAAAAAATCATCTTGGTATTTTTGCAATGTTATAAGGTACATTTTTACTTGAAGAAATACCATGAAAAAAGCAATCAACAAAAGAAATAAAGACTTTAAAAACATCTCTCTAGGTTTGTATTAGACTTCAGTGCTAGAAACACTAAACACTGTAGTTGGCACTGCTAGAAGACATTCTATACAGGGAACTGAGTACCTACAATGTTATTGAAGGACTAAAATAACTGAAATCAAATAATCAAAATTTGGATTATTAAGCATCAGGGCAGATCAACAGGTTAGGAGACTGCTTTGTTCACCAGCACTGTCTTCTCACAACCACAAAGACTAGATCCTGGAAATGTTGAGGCAAGCCTCAGCAGATTACTAACATCTTCATTTGCCAAATCATTCATCTGCTCTGCCAAACCATTTCTGCTTTCAGTCTGGTGGAACTTGATATGTCTCCAGAACTCTGGCTGCAAGTGAGTCTGTAAGATGCATTCCAATTTTCTCAAGTGAAAGTGGAGTGAAATGGAAGTTGAAAGAGGCTATCAATAGTATCTATAAAAATGATACTTTCAGGAATGTCCAAGATGATAAAATTCATACAATAAGAGATGGTTTTTGAACACCTACACTTTATAGTGATGAAACCTATCTTTGAGTTCCCCCAAAAGATGAAAAGGATGACACAACTAAGCAATATGATCAAATTTGGCAATTCCAAGTGTTCACAAGGCACACTTACCTGAAGTTTATGTTGCTCTTCACCTTCACTGTAGATAAAAGAAGCATGGATATTCTTTCTCTCTTCCACCACAAGGTGATATTTTTGAAGAAATAACGTTTCACCTACTTGATTAGATTATAATATTTGAACAATTAACAAGTTGACTTGTCTCATAACAAAACAATTATAACCTGGGCAAAATATATAGACACACAAGAGAAACAGGCCAAAGCTAAGATGACCCATTGCTCTTGGGTTGGCCTTTTCATAGTTACAATTGTAAACTTTTAGGAGTTAAATTTGTCATCATCTTATATGTTTATAAACTTATTAACTGTGAAAATAATTTTGACAAAATAACTATTGATAATGGTATAAAATCATATTTAATTATCACACTTTCCAATAGGATTTTTTTTTCAGGAATTATCTGTATAGAACTATAAATTACAAGAAGGATATTAAAACCACATAGCTTTTCTGAAATAAGCTACTAGAAAAAAATGAATGTGTTCATTCATTCATGCATGCATGCATCTTGAAGGAAATATTTAAAAAATGCCTACTATATGCCAAGCTTTGTACTAGGTGCTGAGTACACAGAAGTGGATAAACAGACAAGATCTGCCCTAATGGAGCTTACAGTTTGACAAGGGAGGCACACAGTGAATAAAGACAAAATGTCCACAAGTTCAACTCTGAGTAAGGGCAGTGGAGAAAATAAACTTAAGGCAATGATAGAATATAATGCGTTGGGGTGGGAAGTTATTTAAATAGATAAGATTATTAGAGCAGGCCTCTCTGAGAGACAGCATTTAAATTGAGATCTGATGTATTGAAAGGACTCAGCCATTGATTGCTGGATCATTGTGTGATGTATATATATATATATATATATTATATATATATATATATATTTATGATGTGTGGGGGAAGGGGAGTGTGGTTTGTACTAGGAGTCAGAATATGCAGGAACATGTATAGGTGTTTGGACTTTATTAAAAGTGTAATGGAAGAGATTGAGCTGAAGTTTTAAATATGGGAATCTTTATAGATTATAGTTGATGCTCTTGGAATAGATGAGACTAAAAAGAGACAGTGTGTCAAAAGAAAAAGGGAATACAGTCCAGGATCAAGACCTGGGGAAGTCCAACACCTACAAATTCAATGGTGGAAAATAAAGCAAGAGAGGCTGAAAGAAATTGCCAGAGATATTAAAGGAAAAGTTAAGAGCTTGGTATTATAGATGTTTCAGAAATAGATGTTTCAAGAAGCAAAAGTTATCAACTTTGTGAATGTCACTTACAAGTTTGTTTTACGAGGGCAGAAGACACAAGGGCAGTCAGTGGAGTGAAAGATAAAGTCAGGTTGGAATGGGAGGTGCAAAAATGGAGACTAAAGTGTAGATTTTGCGGGGAAGGGGGAAGGATTACGGCTGTAGGAGGAGTAAAGTCTTTTGTGTTTTGTCTAGTTTTGCTTTAATAGTTCAATCTAGTGCCCGATGTACATAAACAGAATGTAGGAGATTGATGCTCAGAGGGACAGAATATATAAGCAGAAATCGAAAAGATAATTGAGAAATTATAGTTTGATGAGTATTTGGTGAAAACTACTCTTTTTTTTTTTTGGAGATAATACCACAGGTGCTGTGATATTTAAAAAGTTGATGTTTTCAAATTATGACTAGGATTCTATGCAGATTGCCTTAAAAGAGAGGCATGCATTTGTAAGATATACAATATATGATTAGGTGGCTCTGGTGATAAAACTAAAACTCCAATAATAAATACATTCTGAGATAAAAGCCTCAATTTTAGAAAAAGATATATCCAAAATGTCTTTTGTGCTCACTGAGGAAAGTTTGTGAAATGTATTTTAACAAAGCTCTTTAAGGATCATTCATTTACAATACCCCATTAGAGCTTTACACTGAAACATCTTTGTGGTGGTGAATTGGTCAGGTAAGATTTGTCTAGTATAGAACTCATAAAGAATTTGTGCTGTTTAAGGGATACATTCGTATCTATTTCCATCAAATTTTTTCAATTACTGTATGTGGCAAATAATATTCTGCACAAACTAAAACCTTTGGCTATTTGCTTTCTCTCTACAAAATCTGCTTTTCTCATTGAGAAATTGCAAAGAGTCCTTTACAGAAGCTTATTGCTTTGAATATACCATTAAATATTATTGTCTACCAGGCATTAGAATATTATGTATTTTACTTTTGAATCTTTTGTAACAAGTTGTTCTAGCTCAAAATAATATATATGGCAGACTACAGATCACTTAAATTTCTACATTTACATGTAACTAAAAGAAACCTATTTTAAATATTTATGTGTACATTTATAATTGGACAAAATAACATATAGTATCTTTCATATGTATTCATGTTAAGTTTTAGTTTAAAAGAACATCCTTCCATTTTCTAGACTTGTATATTGAGAAGATTATAGCTTTTTTTCTGATCACCCACATCTTTCTCCTTATTTGAAAAGCACTTGGTTTTAGAAAGTTATCTTTTTTCTGGAGTTTTGCAAATATGTATTTGGGCAAGATTTAACAAATGCATCCAATTGGTATTGTTAGACATTGAAATCTAGATAAATTTTTTCAGGATATTTGATAGTAATCCAGGAGTTACTATCAAGTTATAAATGTAGATAATTCATACACTTTTGAGTGATATTGGGGCAGTTGTATTATTTTATATTCCAGATAAAATTTTTTAAAATTCATTCAGATAAGTAAAAAATGGAAAATCTAGTACACATTAGACCTGGTTTAATCAGTATTTCCCAGCCTTGACTTAGTGAGGCTCCACAATTACAAGGCAATAGTAGATTCCTTTCAAGTTAGCCTTTTGTTCCACAACAGATTAGGTTGTAAATCTGCGTTCAGATGACAGCGTCTTGACTGTGTTAAAAACACTGGCTATGCTCGAAGGGCTTTGAAGGAAAGAGAGTATATTTTCAAGTGTTTTATAATCATGGAACTTAGGTAAGACAATAGTTGTTTAAACATTTGAGAATAAGAGATTTTCCAACAGTGGAAAGTCTTCTGACTTGTTACTTACTATGATATCTTGTTACTTACTATGATATTAGCTCTGGAAGCTAATCTGTTTTAGAGAAAGTAAGATGGAGTTACCACTATAACTTATTGTGGGAATATCTGAGATAACTTTTCACATATTCACTTTTGGTTTGAACAATACAAAAGTGAGCTTGGGCTGAATGCAAAAATGAGGTAAGGACATGGGCATTTTAAAATAAATATTAGAAACTCAGAAGGAGCGAAGGTTCATGTTAAAAATATTTAGGCCTGAAAAGAGGACTAGTATACATGCGACTATTTTTAATCTTTTTAATGCTTATTTTGGGGACTTGGGGCTACCCTCTCTGAGGACAAAAACAAGATCACCTCTGAACTTGAGAGGTGTGTTATATTATATTATTATATTATATTTATTTTTTTGAGACAGAGTCTTGCTCTGTCACCAGGCTGGAGTGCAGTGGCGCGATCTCGGCTTACTGCAACCTCCGCCTCCCGTGTTCATGCAGTTCTCCTGCCTCGGCCTCCCTAGTAGCTGGGACTACAGGCACATGCCACCATGCTTGGCTAATTTTTTGTAGTTTTAGTAGAGACGGGGTTTCACCGTGTTAGCCAGGGTGGTCTCAATCTCCTGACCTTGTGATGTGCGCGCCTCGGCCTCCCAAAGTGCTGGGATTACACGTATGAGCCACTGCGCCCAGTCTGTTTTATTGTTATTATTATTATTATATTTTGAGACAGGGTCTTGTTCTGTCTACCTGGCTTTAATGCAGTAGTGTAATCTCGCCTCACTGCTGCCTCAACCTCCTGGGATCAAGAGATACTCTCACCTCAGCCTCCTGTGTAGCTGGGACCATGGGCACGTGCCACCATGCCTGGCTAATTTTGTTTATTTTTGTAGAGGTGAGGTCTCACTGTGATGCCCAGGCTAGTCTCAAACTGCTGGACTAAAGTGATCTTCCTGCCTGCATCTCCCAAAGTGCTGGGATTACAGGCATGAGTCACTGCACCCAGCCTTGTATTATCTTTTATTAAGTTCTTTCAACAGGGAGAATTGAAATGCATATAAAGAAGAATCAGTAAATATCAGTAAATAGACCACATATTTCTTCTCTGTACGCATTGATATATCAAGAATTTTTAGCAGGTCTTGCACACGTTAGATAAATTATTTTAAATTCCAGTTCATATTTATTAATAGGATAAATTATTTTCTGAAAAAAGTTAAATAAAATAATGTAATTATACAGTAGTCTCTTGCAAATATCATAAATTTTCCTGGGAAAATGACACAGAGTGGCATAAGAAATGGAATGTCAGTTAGACACCAGTTATTTTTTAATCTGTTAATCTCAATTTAAAAATATGGAGAGATTTTGATCAATTTGTTAGACAATAATGTGACAGTGTGGCCTGAGTTTTCCTTGTGACTTGAGATACATATTTAATAATGCAGATGTGAAATATCCAGGCAAATTTTGTCGTTATATATCCTAAAAGTCTATAAGATTTTCCTTTCAGTGCAAGTAAAGCTTTAAAAACATCAAAGTGATATCTCCCTCAACTGCAGCCTCTCTAGGGATCCCAAAAGCGTATTTTTGAAACAACAGCAAATTCTGCCAGTATAGATTCATTTTATCAGCAGCATTTTAAAGTAATCATAACAACAGTTATTAAATCTGTTTTCTCATTTAATCATAACAACTCTGTAAGGTAACCATTATAATCCACTTTTTATAGAAAGAGAAACCCAGCATTGGAATAGGTAAATTACTTGCCCATCATCACCAGTAAGTAGAGTGAAGTCAGTATGAAAGTCACCAAATAAAGCTTCACTGTCTTTTGGGACCCAAAAGCACTTTGTCTTCTAATTCTAGGAAACAATGGTGGTAGACTGCTTTAGTGTCTTTTTTTTTCCTCCCTCTTTTTCTTTTTTGCTAATTTCCTTCAGATGATATTGCAGACAGTGGTAAACATGTAGGAAAAAATGCAGAAGAGATCCTGTAGGTCTGACTCTTACTTTTCTTGTAGAAATTATGCTTTCCTTCATTCATTCACTCAAAAAATATTTAATAATCCCATAATACATGCAAGGAAATCTGCTTAATGTTGGACATAGATCAGTGTAATAGACATAGATCTTGTCTCCAAGGACTTCAGCAAACAAATAAGTAAAAATTATACCATGAGCACTATAATAGGGTAAATACAAGGCCTCACGCAAAAATCAAGGCAGAAGTATAGAAATTACTTCTCTTTTGTGGTAGGTGAGTGACTATTAGAGATCTAGAACAGGGACACCACCGACCTATGTAATTAGGTATTTGACCAAGACACATATAATATTTATTTTTAATCAGGATAGAGACTGGAACACATACACTTTTAACAGTGGTGTATCACTGAAGATACTTGATCTTGCAAGTGGCAGATGATCTCAAAGAAGGAATTTATTAGTTTATCCAACTACTATTCTGGAGTAAACTGGCTTTGAGTTTAGCTTGATGCAGAGGTCACACAATATCATCAGGAGATTTACCTCTCTCTGCTTTTGGACTCTACTCCCTTGGGATTGGCCTATGTAGCTGTAAATTGGCCATAGGTGCTGCCCTATATCCTCTCTTGTTCATGTCCTGCTAGGGACTTGGGAAAGCGGGTAGGGGTGGAATAGATCAGTGTCCTGAAAGGTCAAATAAAAACTTGAGCAGTATCAGTCTTCATAGGCCCATTCCTGAACTAACCTTTGTGGTGTGGGTGAAAGAATAATCTGATTGGTTTATTTTAGGCCACGGGTCCTATCCTTCCAGCAGAGAAATTACATAAACTTTGTCCAAAACATTCGAGCTGAAATTGGATTGGGTGATGATTCCCTAGATTAGGTTTAAAAAATGATGAGATGGACTAGATACAACATTGAAAAAGAAATATAAGTACTCTCTTCAAGAAGTCATTTCTAGATGGTGAAAATCTAGGTGATATGATTTCTTTATTTTTATTTAGAGAATAACACAAGGGAGAAATTTTAGTGTCATCTATGGAGGGGATACTTAAGTATTTTAGAAAACCAACCCAACATAGAATAAAGCAGTGTGATCAACAAAAGCAAGCAAAATTGCAGGTTTCATTCACTAAAATATTATGTGTAGTAAAGAATTAAATCCTTCCCCTCTACTTTGTAGTTTTAGAATTACACTTGGATAATAGTCTTTAATTTTAATAAAGATATTTTAAAATAAACCAGATTATATTCAGGAGAGAGTAGCTCAGAAATGTGGATGTGTAATATGGAAATCAGGAAACAGAGAACATCAAAGCCATGTTTCTAACTTTGATCTACTCTCCTATTTAGGTGTAGACTTACTTTTTATTATCCCTAAGAATGAGGACTCCATGGTGGAAGTTAGAAGTAGACAATGTGGGATGTTTAAGATTATATGGGGAATCTTTTAAGTCAGTGAACACTGCCATTTGAAGTTTTCAAACAGAGAAAGAGTGGGTATCTTTCTTGAATTTGTGGAGGTAATCCTGTAAGAAGAAGGATTACATTACATTTAAGAAGACTTACAAGATGCTATTTTTTCAAAATTAAACATCTAGCTAAATGAAACTAATGTCTAGATTATTTAAATTTTGAAGTGAAGTTATTATTATTATTGTTATCATTGTATTAAATTTAGCCACTTGTCTTACTCTTCTAGAAGGTTAGTTATTAAAAAAAAAAAACAAAAGGCGTGGTCAAGAGTTTATTCCAGGAAGTGAGGCCATAGTAAATGTTCACTATATATAACCTGAGCTGACACCATCTCTTCTGACTGCCTATTCCAGCAAAAAACATCACTGTGAATCTTATCATAGAATGTTTTATTGATATCTGCATAAACCAAGGGCACTAAAAAAATAAAATTTATTACACATGTGGAATAATGATTAATTGTCCTCAGGGCAAAGAAATATCTTGAGACATCTCAGTAGAAAAACCCCAAAGACAATAAGCCTAAGGTAGGAAAGAAAGTTTAATAATTATTTATAATGCAAAAAATAGGGAAAAATGGTTTCTAGACCATAAAATAAGAATTGTGGTTATTTTTTAGAAAGTTTGTTTGTTGTAAGTAGTTAAAGGAGCCTTGAGGAGCACATGTAATAAATTACCTCTGCAATTAAGAACAGTATTTTTCAAAAAATAATTAATGTCAGTATAAACAATTAAGTAATTTTGTTAGTCACTTGCACATATCCGGTTAGCTATATTAATTTTGGAATATAAGGTCAAAAATGATGAAGTAGCTAATGCTAACAGATGAAGTAGTTAATGCTAAAATACACCAGAAGGAAAGGCATATAAAATAATTGCCTTGAAAGATACCATGCTGATGTAGAGGTGAAAATATATGTTATACAAATCTGAGGAGAAAGAAGAAAATACACCATGGCTTGAACATGTGATATAAGCCTATCAGCGGAATGTGGTAAACCACTTGGGCTGTCTTCCCTCTAAAAATATGTATAGACACTAACATTCCCAGGAATTTGTACTACTTACTATTGCTCCACTATTCCACACATGCAGCAGGGGCTCAGTGGACGTTTGTGAAATCAATCCTAAGTTAGCTTTTGAAAGAATGCCTGGTGATTCCATTATGTTTTAGAAATAGAATCCTAATAGTTCACTCTCTCTTTTCTGAGACTACTCTCTCCAAACTGTTCCTTTTTTAAAACTCCTTTACCTTTTTACCCTTCTTCTCTATCAGCCAAATTATTTGCTTCCTTTTTTTCTCAGAAAATAAAAATTAGAAGAGATCTCTCACAAGCTCTGACCATCAAATCCAACCATGTACTTCATCTGTCTCATCTGTCTCCTTACATTCTCTGCCTTCTTGGCAGAAGACAATGCAATACAGTGGTTTCAATGTTCATACTTCTATGAAAAATCCTTCCACTGGTGCACAGTATGCCTTCCCCACCTGCTAACTAAGGAGCATCACTCCTGCAATTCTCTCCTCTGCAAATTCATTTTGATTTCTAAGGTCATTCTCAGCAGCATAAAATGTGCTATGTCATATGTGTGCATATGTATCTGTGTGTGTGTAGATAGATGATAGATAGATAGATAGATAGATGATAGATAGATAGATATGTATATTATATAAATATCCTGTTATTGACAGCACATCCTTCTCAGGTTGCTGCCTGATTTCTCAGATCCCCTTTACAGCTAAACTCCTCATAAGCATTGTCTACATTCTCCTTCCGGTCTCTCATCCCCGCTGTACTTAGGCTTTCAACTCCACCACAGTTCTTGTCAACTCTCCACATTACCATGTCCAAAGGTGAACTCCTTCTCAAGAGCATTTCACAGCCTATCTCTTTCTTCACTCACCCTCTTAGACAACATTCTTTCCTTTTAAGTTCTCTGGTCACTCTCTTGTTTTCTTTTGCTGGCTTCCTCCCTTTCTTTCTGGAATCCCAAATTGGAAGCACTCTAGGGCTCAATTCTCTCTTTCTCTATCCTCACTACCTTGGTGATCTCATAGTTTCATAAATTTAAAACCATTCTTATAATAATGACTCTCAAATGTATGTCTCCAACTGGGGCCTCTCACTGAACTCCAAAATCACACCTTCATCTATCCAATTGCCTATTCACCATCTCCATTTAAATATCCAGTAGACTTCTTGAAGTTAATATGTTTTTTTGAACAAACAACAACACCCCTCATCTACACATACACACACACACACACACACACACACACACACACACACACACACACCTCTACCTCTGAATGTGGCTCTATGCTCAGTATTTTCCTCTTATTAGAAGATTACTACACCCTTTTTTCCCCAGGCTTAAATCTCTCTAGCCACTGCTGACTCCATTATTTCTCTTCCTTAATTCATTATTAAATCCTCTCACTTTCACCTTTGAAATATGTTTAGTAGCTGAACTTTCCTCACTACCTTTATGAACCACCTCAGTTCTGGTACCATAGCCTCTTACCTCTAAAGTCAAGTTCATAGTGTAACAACAATATGAAAACCCCTGAAAATTTCAGCAGCTTTGAAAAATGAGAACGTTTTTTCTTCTTCATGCACAAGTTGGGAAACCTGCTGTACTCATCATAGCCACTTAGGCACCCAGGTTGATGGATGCTCTGCCTTCATCTGTTTCCACCTTTACAGAGGCTTCCACTTCACTCAGAATAAAATCTAAAGTCTCCACAAAGGTGTAAAAGGCTATTCATCAACTGAAGGGCGACGATAACACCTGGGCAGCTTTTCTCATGCAGCAAAGCCATTAACTGAGGTCCTAATCACACATGCTTGCCATTTGTAATCATTTGTTATTTGACGAAATTTCTTCCATTTCCAATAGAACTCACGGTTTCAGCATTTAGATTTCAAAAGTATATGCACAATTTAATTTCCTATTGCAACTGAATTTTAGCTTCACTCAAATTTTATCAAAATGACAAGACCAATTAGCGTATGAAATATTTAACTAGCAAGTTAAAAAAAAAACGCAGACAGAAAGCTAATTGATGCATGAGTTGTTTTTTCTTGTTTATAGAGGGCCTATGAAAACATAATGCATATGAAAAGAGCCGTGACTTCAACTTTGCTGTAAAATGGTCTCTATAGAAAGGATTTAGCCTTGATGAGAAGGCATGGATGTGTGAATGTCATTGTGGAAGAAGTAGGCCAGAATAACCAATTAGGGACAGAAAAGGGCAGTTAGGCAGGAAGGAGTTAAAGACTGCAGGTTAGAAAACAGTTTTTTATTCAGTTTGATGCCTTGGTAACATGAGGCATAAAGTTTCCATATGTGCCTTCGAATGTGGCCAGGTAGGGTATATAAATACGATGATTAAAAACTCATAGTCTTGCCTACTGAAAGACTGAATCAACAAAAAATGACAATGGACAGTTATAATTTTCCTCTGGCATTTCTCTTTCCTTCTTATTCTGCTCATTTGGTGAATGGCCCTTCCCCTAAACTCTAACCATGTAGGCTCAAATGGGGTTTCAAGTTACTGTCATTGTTCCACCTGTCACTTTCCCCATGAGTGTGGGCCCATGACCCAAGTTAGGCCAGAGTGCTGTCCATAGTCTTTAAGTAAAAAGGAAAAAAGGAAGATGATTTATTTTTATAGATGGTAATTTGAGTGAGTGCAAGAAATGCTATTGGCCGTATTTACATCCTTGACGTGGTAGCTAATCTTGAAAATAATGCTGCCCCATAAAATAAGACAAAAAAACATATTAAGGTAGAAGTTTAAAGGTATTTCAAGACTATGATTCATGTATCCCTGGAAAGTACTATTCCCCTGACCTCCTGACATTACATTACATGATTTAATTAATTCCTCATTTTGTCTAAGTTAGTTTATGTTTGTATTTTGTAATTTTCAAACTAAATGTTTATTACTCAAATAAACATCCATACAGATTTAGAATAGTTATAGCAACTTTAAAACTCTTGAATAATGAGAGTGAGATAACAAACTAAATAAAACATTTTATGTTTGATATAACTCACCTTGCTGCACGACTTCTTATAGGAGGAAAATAACTTCTCTGATAAATGTTTAAATATACCTATTTTGGTAGCTGGTTTAGAGAGTGAATAAATATGTATTTATTTAATGAGACTTAGGAAGAAAAATATATTTGTCAATTCAGCATTTACTTGCCAGAAAACATTATGTTAATGTAAATTTCAAAATTTTTATAACTAAAAGCAGGGGTAACTTTCATTGGTTTTATCTTATGAATAAAATAGGAAACAAAATTCAAATGCTTCTTTTAATTTTATTCTGAGCTTTAACTTCTGTTTTTTAAAATGTTTAATGTGAAAAGATGGCATTTTATAGCTGGAGTATAAAATTAACAACATGTTTATTCCTCCAAACTATTAATAAACACAGCGAGACAGCCCAAGACAAATTAGACACAGCTACCCATAACGCTGTTACATTTATCTGCTTTGCTAGTAATTATAGTTAGAAAAAATCCACTATCCTTTGTGCTACATAGTAATCCATAATTTATTCCTGTTACACCTTTTTACTAATTTTTTCCTAATAGCCCCTTGAAGGAAACACACAACCTTATTATTATTATCTGTATCTACAGCAGATTTAGGAGGTTTTAAAACCTGTTATAGTTGTCATTGAGGATAAGTAGAGGGGTTTGCAATCTAGAATTTAACCTTAGGTAATAAGTACTGAAGACTTTTTTTGTTAGGCCTAAGTCTTGTTACATAAACTTGCCCCATTTTATTTAACCACTTTGACCTAAATTACTACTTGTATAAATTGTGAGCAGCAATGATTCCATTCAATAATTTTTTAAATGTGTGGAATTCCCACTATTTTGTAGGGGAACTTTTATGTGTTTGATTCATCATGATTAATTTAGTCCAAATTAGTTTTTAAAATATGTATTAGATTGCTTTTCTTGGAATTCCAATGGGAGGAATGTTGGATTCAGAGTTATGAAGGGTATTATCATGGCTCTCTCTCTGAATCTCTCTTTTCCCATCTCCCATAACTTTTCCCATCTCCCTTAACTAAGCTTTCCTGCTTAGTTAAAGTTTTGGATAAAAACTCTATACCTTGTAACAAGATTGCTTCTGTAAATGTCAGGCTTACAAAGTCATTAAATGCTGAACCCCAAGGAAAAAACATGCTGAACTCAAAATTCTAAGGAAATTTTCTGATTGGCCAAACTTGGGTAACATGTTAGATGTGTGGGCAGAACTGAATACAGTTACGTCCCAGCGACTGGTTCCAAGATGCCTCAGGAATACCAAAATCCAAGGATGTTCAGGTCTCTTATAAAAAATGAGATAATATTTGCATATAACCTACGCACATCCTCCCAAATGTTTTAAATTATCTTTAGATTACCTACAATATATAATACAAAATATATGTTATGTAAATAGTTGTTATTCTGTATTGGTTTTTAATTTATGTATATATTTTTATTGTTGTGTTATTTTTATTGTTTTCTTGGAAATATTTCTTTTTTTTGAGATGTGACCTTTCTCTGTAGGCTGAAGTGCAGTGGTGCTATTATGGCTCACTACAACTTCAAACCCCTAGGCTCAAGCAGTCCTCCTGGCTCAGTCCCCTGAGTTGCTGGGACTAGAGGAGTGGGCCGCCACACTGGGCCAATTTTTTTTTTTTTTTTTTTGTAGAGAAAGGGTCTCACTCTGTTGACCAGGCTGGTATCAAACTCCTAAACTTAAGCAGGTCTCCTGCCTACACCTTCCAAAGTTCTAGGATTATAGGTAGGAGCCACTGCACCTGGCCCCAAATATTCCTGATCTGCAAAAAATGGTGGCGCTCACCTATGCAAAGCCTATTGATGCAGAGTTGGCCATCTGTATATAATTACTTCTATGGCTGAGTCCTCCTGAAAAAGTCAAAAGAGGTTAGGTGGGAAGAGGATGAGGAAAAGTTCAGGTCGAGTATGAAGAGAGAACAGCAGAGACAGTGGGAAATGAAATTGGGAAGAAAGATCCTGATATTCCTATCAGGTAGCTGATATAATTAAGTTTGTGGGCACAACTGGATAATTTACACTTCATTTGACAGGTAAATGTGTAAAGGAAACAGATTGACAAAATCATATCTTTGCCTAAAAAGTATTAATCTGCCAATATACTGTCAAAGGCAAGAGACCAAGAGAAATAGTAGTTAGAAAGTTATATCAATAAATATTACAGAGCTCAAGTCAATTACAACAATGCTGGTGACAGGTAAGGAGGGCCTAATCCAACGTGGCAGATTGAGAGGAGAGAGCCACGGAAAGCATTATAAAGGAAATTCACCCAGTATATAGCAACTGAGCTTCTAAGGAAGGAAAAGAAAACATGTATCAGTATTTATTTAAATGGCTTTTTAGCAGATAAATTTCCTCAGAGAATTTTGTGATCTCTGCTGTTTCCTCTCTTTTAACTGGAAGAAGAATGTTGTTAGAAAAAAGAAAGAATCAGAGGGAAATAGATACCGTTCTGTCATGATGACTTTTTAAAAACATACTGTTTTCATATGAGCACTTCAGTTGGCTGGTTCAGTTGTTGTTAAACAATATTTTGGGGAACCCAAAAACCATTTTCCTTTTGGCATTTAACAACAATTAAAAATTTTTTCCATTAATTTATAATGTGGTTCCTTTGTTACTTAAGTAATCTTTAGGCTAGAGAAAAAAAAGTGAGTCCATTCTGTTTTTTTCGACACTGAGTATCTAGCACCTAGTATAATGCCAGTATGAAGCAGATGCTGAATCCACCCATTGAATAAACAAAGGAAGCATCTTCCATCACATGAGATGTATTTTTAGTTTTATATCCTTCAAAAAGGATTTGCCTCCCATCTGTGAATTTCTGCATTTACTTTGTCTTTATTCACTTTTGCTCACTGTGGTCATGTAGAGAAAAACTAAATATTGTATTCCCAGTCTCCTCTGCTGTATGTGGAGTCTTAATTAGCTTTTCAAACACATTGCAGATAAAACCTATTAATCCTCTGACCTTCACTGAATTCAAAAGTTTTTGTGTTAATTGTTTTGAGAGAATAATAGACAGTTTTGCTGTTTTTTTTTTAAAAAAATCCTTGCATCTCTGCCAGGAAAACAGTAGAACCAGAAAGAGCATTTGAAAGGCTGCTTGTATTTCAGCTGCCATCTTTTACCACTAGTGCATGTCAGAGGACAGTCATTTCTAAACTTTATGAAAGTCATTTGTTTTCTTACAGCTTTATAAAATAAGCTTTTAAAATGATTTCTATCCAAAAATAGCAAAAATAGCAATTAGATCATTTAAGATGATTGTAATTTTGTTTATTAAAGCCCTAAGTGGAAAAGGAACTTACATTTATTGTCCACCTATTAAATTACGAGCACTTTGCTTGCATTAACTCCTTAAAACTTCAGGATCCCCTTTTTCCTGTGGTTTGACCATTTGTGTCAATATTCACTTTTGTTTACAAGGTTTCAATCACTCCACTGGGTACTGACGAAAAACTGATGAAAATTGTCACCCTCATTTCACAGAAGTGCACACATTCATTTGTTTTCGAGAGTAAAAATTTCTACTGCTGATGTAGGAAGGAATTAGGACTTGAAATCTGTTTTCTCTGATTCTAAAACGATTGTCAAAGTTTCAATGACCATTAGCACTTGGGAGGCAGGAGGTACTCAGTAGTATCACCCAAGGTTAAGGTGACATACACACCAGTTTTCTCCTGTAGCATTGACATAATTATTCATCACACTTTCTTTTATTCTCAGAGATGTCCAGTGTGGATGATTGTGCTCCATCTCAGAAGCTTTTAAAATTATGTATTTGCGAGTGCTGTGGGAGACCAAGGTGAAAAGATCACTTGAGACTAGGAGTTTGAGACCAGCCTGGGCAACATAGTGAGACCCGCCCCCTGTCTATAAACAATTAAAAAATTAACCTGGGGCTGTGGCACATGCCTGTAGTCCTAGCTACTTTGGAGGCTGAGGCAGGGGCATCATTTGAACCCAGGAAATAGAGGCTGCAGTAAGTTATCACACCACTGTACTCCAGCCTAGGTGCCAGAGTGAGACCCTGTCTCTAAAACAAAAAATAAATTTTAAAAAATTATGCATGTGTAAAGGCTAAAGCAACTCCATCATGGAAACTAATTCACTATGCTGACTTCTGCTTAACCCCAGTTCCTCTCAGATTTCTATTTTCAAGTACTTACCATAAATCCTGCTTATAGGCAAATTCCTTCTGAAACATCTATACCCTTTCTCTATGGTATAGAAGCCCTGGCTCTGGGGGTTAACAGTGCGGGGATCCACCACCTCTCAGCTACCCGAGACATGGCTTCTGCTTGTAAATCCCTAGGAAATGCTTCTTTCAGAGAAACTGGATCTATCAGTTTCTTTTTTTAGCCTCTCAGCTCCCATGGCCTTTGGGAGTAGGTTCACATAGATAGACCTGCTCATCTTGAAACAGCATCTCTAGAGGTTTAGAATACCAGAATCTCTCTTCCCATCAGCGATTATGATTCAGTCGTCCTGGTGCAAGGATAAGAAAGACAACTGTATTTTAAAAATGATCCTTGGGTGATTCTCTTCTGCCAGGTAAGCAAAACACTCATCAAGGCTCATAAAAAAAGCAGCCATGAGCAGTGAAACAGAATGCTTTGCTGGGAGTCGGGAGCTTGGACCTGAGGTCTAACCCTGCCACTGGATGCACAACCCTCATCGTTTCAGGCTTCTGCTTTTTCTTTATAAACCGAGAAGATGGAATGGAGTCAGTGGCTTTATGTTGGGGTTGGGGGTTGAGTGTAGAGGAAAGAGTACCTTGCAAAGTCTCAAAGTATGAGACTTTGTCAAACTATAACAAGATTCTGAGATTCTTGTAGCCACCTACCTCCATGGGAGCTGAGGGTGAGTGAAGAGGTACTTGTTCTTTTGGAAAATCACTGCTTTTAGGGTGCCAGTGTTTGGGATGAAAGTATGTTGTATGGTATCATTGCCTATGTTGGAGCAGGAAAAAAGAAAGAATGGAAACTTAGGTAGATGGTCCTGAATTTTTATTTCTAAATCAAAACATTAAAAAAAGTTTGGATTTAGCAACTACTTGATTCAGTAACTTGCTTTTCAGCTGCTTAGTTTAACCACACACACACACACATACACACACACACAGCATGAAACAACAGCTGAAGACGTATTTGATGATGTGAGCACAAATGGATTTTTTTAGTCTTTTTCCTACTGAGTTGCTGGAGGGCAACAGTGCGAACATCCACCCTTCCTTGCCAGCTGGTGTGTATTCCTAAACCAGGGAAATAACGGTCACACTTACCCTACCTATTATGACAAGCTACCTCTGGGTCAAAATTATTACAGCATGTTCTTATTAGTGTCTGAATCCCACTTTCATTTGTGTGTTATACTTACCCAGTCCTGGATGAGTAATTTTAATTGTGAGAGCCAAATAAGCAAAATGTGGAGTTAGCCCTTGACAAAAATAGCCACTGTTACAAACGTGATTTAAGGGCTGAAATGGTTCAGATCATCATCCCTGGTGTCTTTGCTTAACAAAAGCAGCTAGGAGGGGTTATTGGTCTCAGAGGTGGAATATAGCTGCTCTGCTCTGTCAGAAGGAAAGTGCTCCTTTGGCTACTTCTTCTTTGTCCACAGGGCAAATACTGTGATATGAGAAACCGGAGAGATGGGATGTATCATTGGCAGCTTGGCCCTGAAGGCTTTAGGGCAGTATTTTTCTCTTTCTGCCCCTAGCCAGCTGTCTTTTTGCACAGGTTGAATGCATGTGCTCTGCCTTTGACATTGTGCATTTAAATGCCAGCTTGTGCAATTTACAGTACAAAAGGGCAAGGATACGTGGGGGAATGAGGAAAAAAGAAACCTCTTTTCTCTTCTCATTGGCTGACCTTTGTGATTTCGCTTTATAAAGGCATTGAAAGAGCCCCTTTGACCATATTTCTGATCTTCAAAACAATCACAGAAATAGCCCTTTATAATGTTATTTATATACATTGCTACCAGTCTTCCTGCATTAGAATATAAAGAATAATTTGTATCCCTGGAACTGAACACGGAAAGCCATTCCTATCTCAGTTAGCTGAAAGTAAAACCAAATTGCACTCTGTGATTTTGGTAATAGGGATCAAAAAATTTTATATTGTAGGATTTTAGGCCAATAATACCTGAATCTGAAAGGTAGACTTAATATGCTTCCCTCAAATTAATTTAGAAAATTTCAAATTTGGAGAGATCATAACATAATAATTTTATGAGACAGATATAAAGGGAGATGCAGGACTGAGAGTGACCTTGGTGGTATGCAAATCCTCATTCTTGAGAAATGATTTGTATAGACTTAATGATTCTCTTATTCTCCTTAGGTATTCCTTCATTAATTCATTTGTTCACTTATTGAGTCCTTTCATTAGAAAGATGCTTTTCTGGGTACTAAAGAATAATGGTGGCTGGGCGTGGTGGCTCACGCCTGTAATCCCACAACTTTGGGAGACGGAGGCAGGTGGATCACCTAAGGTCAGGAGCTCAAGTCCAGCCTGGCCAATATGGTGAAGCCCCATCTCTATTAAAAATACAAAAAATTAGCTAGGCTTGGTGGCAGATGCCTGTAATCCTAGCTACTTGAGAAACTGAGGCGAGAGAATCGCTTGGACCCGGGAGACGGAGGTTTCAGCGAGCTGAGATTATGCCGCTGCACTCCAGCCTGAGTGCAACAGAGCAAGACTCTGTCAACTAAAAAAAAAGAAAAAAAGAGGAAAAGAATAATGGTGACAAGGAGACAAAGTTTTTGCATTTATAGAACTTCATAGTCCAGTGAAGGAGACAAATCATAAAGGGCATGTAGTATGATATCCGAGAATGATACTTGCTATGAAGAATTGAGAGGGCAAGTGGATAGAGAATATGGAAGGTGCTGTGTTTTCACTGGGTGGTCTGGGAAGGGCTGTCTAAGGAGATGCTATCTGAACAGAGACTTGGATGAAGAAAGGAGTGAGCTGCACACACATTTGTGAAAATAGTTTCATACAGTAAAAATGCAACCTTCACACAGAAGAAATGCAAAAACCCCAATGATCAGGGAACAGGAAAAGAAGCAGTGGAATAGAATAGCATGAGTGAGGAGCAGGTGGTAGGAGGTGAAGTTAACCGAGTTGTGGAGATCTGGATCACAAAAGATATTATCCTGAGTGAGGTCTGATGCTTTCAAAGGGCCTGAGTACAGATCATTTTAAGCAATTATAAAAGTGAAAACAATTAGAATTAACATAAACACATTTCTCGTGTGTTTTGTTGGCTGGAAAATTTGTTTAGTTGCCTCTTGCTCTGTCCCCTTAACTTTAGTGACACTGCTGTCACTGAATTTTGCATATGAAATTCTCTTCAGAAAAGGATAAGACTAGTGCCATCTGGTGGTCGTAGTTGTGAACGTCATACTCCATCCTGGAGTATTTGCAAAACCAAAAACATTTAGGCCCAGCAGTGCTAAAACTTTCAATAATACTTATCCTCCTAGGTAAATATGTCTATTGAGCACATATAAAACTAGAATATGGAAACTCGACTAAAGTATTCGCTGATGTTGTTCTGTGCTTTGAGGAATCTTTTAGTTTAGCCCAGTAGTTATTTTTGTCTATACAGTATATGCAATGCAGTTCACATAGTAGGGAATAAATAAATTGCTATTAAATTGAAATTAGCCTAATGTCTACTTATCACTGAGGTACCATTGACCTTTATTAGGTCTTCTTTCTTAGGTCTCTACAACAGTAGTATTCTTGAATCCAGAGAGAGACCACATCATTTTCTTTTTATTGTGATATTTGTGGTTATGATTATTTGGCTAGTACACTTACTATTTTTATATAGTGTTTGCCTAATAAATATAAATTTACATATGGGATAGAAAGAACTATGTTTTAACATTACATGGGTGTTTATCTTAAGGGCTACCTGCTTAGACTGTCTGGCTTTGAGCCTTGCCTCAGTCACCTGCAAGTTCTATGGATGAGCCTTAGTTTCCTTCTCTGGAAAGACTCTAATGGTTCTAACGTTACAGCGATCTTGTCAAGGTTAAATGAGAAAATCTAGGTAAGCTGTCTAGCCCAGTACTTGGAATATTACAAGTATCCAATACATGGTAAATATTTTTATAATTTGTATGTGTTTGGTATGTAGCATTTGATAAGCTAAAGGTCAAATCATGTCTCATGGGAAAATTAAATATAAATAAGTAACTAGTTTGTAAGGATAGTTCAGCCTGATCACTCAATAAGCATTTAGTTGAATTCCTTATTTGTAGTAAGCACTGTTCTGAAATATCCATCATACATTTATATTACCAAGAAGTATGCAAAGCTACAAAAGGACAAGCCTCTGAGTGTTTAATAATTGTGTTCACAGAGCCTAGAGTGGCATCTGGCACAGAGTAGATGCTCAATTAATATTTGCTGAATGAATGAATTAGAAAGGACTCCTTAAATATAAATATTATCTAGTTTTACTTCTTATTCATGTAATTATTTAATAAAATTTGATATGTTAAAGTTTCTGTATATAGATGTAAGTAAAACTGAAACGATATTCAAAATTGTATTATCATTACATTTTTACCTAGGAGAATGAAATCAGTAATAATCCTAGGGTACTCATTTTCCAGCAATAATCAAAAGATTCTTATATTACTAATTGTGAGCAGAATACTTAAAGAGAGAAATTTTGGCAAAACTATTATGCGAATCACTAAATTTGCATATAGTGGTTTTTCCCCTAAAATGTAATGTGTGTTTTAAGACTTAACTCTCAGAATGGCAATTCCATTTTCCTGCTTCCAAGTTCTTGATTGGGAACTCTTTATTATTACACATATATTTTCTATTCAGCTAAAACCTCCACAACATACAGAATAAAAGATTTGATTTTTCCTGACTGAAAGAAAAGCTGATATTTGTATATATGCATTTGTTATTTATCAAATGAACTCTAGGACAATGTCAACTGCTTACTAATATCCAATATATTCCATGGACAGCCTCCCTCAAGCAATGAATCTCAGAATATCATGGCAATGTGAAAATTCCTATAACTCACATATTTCTATATATCCTATGGAGTACGTTCTCGTTAAACATGAGGTAACACTTATTCTGTGTTTTAATGACATTTCAGTGGTTTCTAGAATTTTTTTAAAAAAATCTCAATAGAAAGGATTTAGTAACCTTAAGGTTAACCTTGATCAATATTTCGGAAAGTATTATTAATTGGAACTTAAAGGAATGCTAAATGCAAAGATGTGGCATAGGTTCATCAAAATTAAAGAAGTCATGTAAAATTAACCTTAATTCTTCATCAGATAGCGAACTTGAAGATCAGAGAAATTGTGCAGGCTTGATGCATGTGTAGCAAAGCATTTGAAAAGGTGCCTTCTGATGTGTGATTAAAAGGTAAGAAAATGGGCTGAATGCAAGAGAAAACTAGTTACCCCTTGAACCTTTACTAACCAACACTTAGTAATGGATAACTCTTAATCTGGTAGAGATGTCTAATGGTGAGTAGGGGGCTTCATCCTCTTCTGAGAGTCTCTGGATTTAGTCATTACTAAAAAGATTTTGCATTTGACACTGTTGACTATCTCTTTATCTGTAAGAAGCCTATTCATGATTTGTCAATGGTTTTTGACATGTCTGTTATAATAGGCAAGCACATCTTCAAAGCCAATGAAATTTGTTACAATTTTATGTGAAAAAATACCTTCAAGAATGCCTTTTGGGAAACTATATTCACTTGCCAACTGGCTGTATTAAACACCACTCTTTCTCTTGTCAAGTGCTTTTTCTTACAATGCCCTATTTATTCCTGGAGAATTCACTTTTATCAGGCTATGAAGTCATCAATTCAAGCTCACTATAAAGAACCAAAGCTTCACCTTAAGTGCTTAAAATACTCCTAAGTAATTTTGAGTAATGGTCAATTCTACACCCTTTAGAAACACCATTTTAATTATTTTTTATAACCAGTACTTTCTGGTATTTCACCAAGGTGTGATTTCAGATGTAATTCTAATTAAAGTAACAATTTGATTGTTTGATGCCAGAAAGTCCAGACATATAAAAGTCTCTGAAATTGAAGTGTTTTTGATAATTGTTTTGGGAGCAATCACAGGACATTGAGTCCAAGATTCAGACTGAGAGACTGAGATGCTGATGTCATTGGCATTACTGCTACTGTTGCCCCAACACTGGGAATTTGTTGAGAACAGAAAGATGAAACCATTAAATGACCTTTTCACAGAATCACATTACATGGATTCCAAACTTTCTAAAGAGTGTTAACTTTTCAAATCAAGAAGTACTATGATATCTTGATTTCTTATATTGCTTTTCCCTCGTTTTCTCCATGCTATTTTCTTTTTAATGTGATTTTTTCATTGTCCACCACATTCCTCCTTAAGTAATCATGTTTAGTTCTATGTTTGAACACAGAGAATTATTGAACATTTTAGATATTTTTTGGGGATTCCAATCTGCTGGAAGCTGTCAAGGTCTAAATTAGCTAGTTACTAATGAACCGAACATAATTTTTCTTTATTTTTTTCTTATGATTTTATCACATGATGAGAATTATTCTGGTCGTTTTAGGATTTACCATTATTATTTAGAATTTTTTTAAAAATTGATATTGTTTTAGTTAATTTTTAAACTTTTTACCACAAAATATTTATTCATAGAAGTTACTAAAAGCTACATATCCGAGTTTGGTAAGTTCCCAGCTGAGCCTACAGTCTGTTGATAAAGAGATGTAACCAATGATGATCAGGCATCTTGCTTACAGAACATTAAGAGACCCAGAAGAGTATTCATAATCTCACCAGGCAGCTATACCACAATGAAATTCTAAATCTAGGAAGAAAAATAGGACATTTCTTAAAATGTGATGATGGTCTTCCAGCACTATCCAATTAAACTTCCTATATTGGTAGAAATATCTTATGTCTGTACTGTTGCATGTGGCAGCCACTAGCCACAGGTGGCTCTTTAGCTGTTGAAATATGACTAGTTATTGAGAAGTCAAATTTTCAGTTTTATTTAACTTTAAATTATTTAATTTTGCATTTAAACAGCTTAATACAGTTATTGGCTGCCATATTGGACAGCACTGCCTAATCTTTAAATTTACCATGTTCTCCCCAGCTCCCACCCATTTCCCTTGTTTTCCAATAATATAGACTTGGGAAGTAAATTGTGGTTTTAGTTAAGGCAAGGTTCAGGTCCTGTGTTCGTCTAATAACTACATAAGATTCCATGGTGTGCTGGTTAGCTATATTTTGGGGAGATAAAAATAGTACTGCGTTATAGTGTTTGCTGATTTCCGTGGTGTACGTAATTCCACCAAGGCCAATTTGAAGCTAACAACATGAAATTAACCAGCCAGAAGGATTTCTGAAAATTTAACTATCTGGTCTCATAAGCTGGTAAAAACTGTCTCTAATATACCTATACTCTTTAAAAGTCCCAAATCCTTCCCATGTTTTCTTAAATGTTGCTAAGGTTTACATGCCCTAGATCACTTCTCTCTGTGAGTTCTGCTCTTACTTACTTGGTTCAGCTCATGGACTGGCTTCTTAATTCTCTGTATGCTGGCCTTTTGTTTTTTTCCATAAAAGCACTTTTCTTTAGTTTCCATAAAATCCATTTTCAGAAACCAGTTGTGCAAAGCATAGAATTTTTTTAAAAAGATACCTGCAGATGGTAGAGGGGATGGGGAAAGTTCTTACTATGTGGCAATATTAATAAATACAGATTAAGTATTGGGTATCTTTGCTATTTAATATCCTCAGGCTACTCTTCACTGCCCTTTCCCAGGTTCCCTCCCACTGCACGTCATCTCTCTGACTCCTCTTTGGTGCCTTCCTTCTGCCATAGCTTGTTCTCACATCCTGAGTTTTGGATTTCCCCCAGAAATTCCAAACTTTCCAACTAGGTCATACAAAGCAATTCAGTTCTCTTCAGCCTCTATTCGCAAACTCTCCTTTTGATATTCACACTCATCCTGTTGCTTGAAGGACCCTTTATTTGCCATAATCAATCTTCCTTAGAAAGTAGTTATTCAGGCTGGGTGCGGTGGCTCATGCTTCTAATCCCAGCATTTTGGGAAGCCGAGGCAGGCGGATCATGAGGTCAGGAGTTCGAGACCCGCCCTGCCAACACGGAGAAAGCTCGTCTCTACTAAAAATACAAAAATTAGCTGGGCGTGGTGGCGGGCACCTGTAACCCCAGCTACTCGTGAGGCTGAGGTTGGATAATCGCTTGAACCCAGGAGGTGGAGGTTGCAGTGAGCCGATATCCCACCACTGCACTCCAGCCTGGGCAACAGAGCGAGACTCTGACTCAAAAAAAAAAAAAAAGAAAGAAAGTTATTCATACATGTAACAAAACTTATTGAATAACAGCTACACACCAGGCACTCTTCTGCTTGTAAATATCAAATTTGGCCGTTCATTATATTAGTATTGGGTATAATAATTTTCAAAATGCCTAGCACACTGCTGATGTATGTTGGCAATCAATAGGTGTCATTTTGTTATGTATTTGTGAAGCAAAATTTAGAAATATATTAACACACTAAGGGACAGAAATAAAGGCTACAACCTTTGGAAAGATTCAGACTTTCATCTCTGTCTTCCTTTTAATTACACATTCTATTTCACCCTCAAAGCTGACTCTTAAATACTAATATTTGTGATGTCCAGATATGTATAAACAGTGATGTAATCCACTATCATTTTAGTAAAACTGTGTATAAATCACTGTACATTTAATTAATACCACATGTATTTTCACTGACCCTATGTTTATTTGTTGCTGTTGCTGTCATAAATTCCCTAGTCACTTATTGTGGATACACAATAAATATATACTTAAAATACTTTTAGTTTCAATAAGTGAAGAGAAAATACAATAAATGTTATAGAAATGATTAACATTACATTTTGGTTCATTTTGTTTCTTCGTTGATCACTTTTTGTTTTGCTGTAAACTATTTGGTAATTTTTGTGAGTGCAGTGAGTAATATTTTATTGTCCTGATGCTAGGTGCTTGCAAAAGGGGAGAAAATGCATGGTGTTCTGTTTTACTTTATGTGATTGGGCATAGAAATGTCTTACCAATTTGATCTCTTATATCTGCCCACAGCTCTTGGACTCCGCAGCCTTTGTCTTAGTTCAGGTCATCATTACTCTAGTCTGGAGCAGTACTGTATCCTCCTTCACAATATGTACTTTACACCAAATATTCTGCATCAATGATTTCACTGACGGCATGTCTGATTATTTCACTCTCCACTTAAACCTGCCAAAGCTTTACTTTGTCCCTAGGATAAAGTCTTAATTGAAGAGTTTCAATGTCTTTCCTGATCTTTCTCTGGCTTCATCTCTTGATAACTCTTTCATCGCCCTTTGCTCCATCCATATAAAAGTCCATCCAATTGTTTAAAGTCAACCCACTCTCTCTTACAATTATGATTATTTCAGAGCCTTCTTTGTTCAAATCCTTATCCTCCTCTCTCCACCTCCCCTTTGTTTGAATACCAGTTGTTACTTTCATAAAATATCACCCCTTACTGGTCTTCTGGATGGACAGGTGTCTTGTTTCAATGAATTTCATAAAATCTCTATCCCTTATAATAGCACATGGCATACAATACTGAGTATTTGTTTCTCACTAGACTCTGAGTTTTGGGTGTGTGTGTGTGTGTGTGTGTGTGTAAATTACATTATCTGTTTTAACTGACAGAGCAAGGCACATTTTGTGAAGTGAATGTCATGCTTGTGTTCAAAATTAAGGAGAATTAATAACTGCAATACATAAGCAGAAGAATCTGTTTCTTTGCTAACATTCAAAAGTAGGAAGAATGAATACCTTTGCAAGTGGCTATTATGTTCAAAGTATTATGGTTGGTACTTTACATATGTCACCTCATTTAATCCTCACAGCAATATGAGCCTTTGAAAACTTAAGCATGCTCAAGGAAAATATGAAATGGCAAAGCCAAGATTCAAAGCGTGACCTTTCTGACTGCAATATTTATGTTCTTTTCACTAATCCATATTGCTTTTGAGAATCTGTGAAAGCTGTGTTGCTGACTACTACCCATTTTGTGGGCTAAATTGAAGAATATATGTCAAAGAGCCTTGTAAACTGTAAATATTCTACATAAGTACTGTGAACTTTATAGGTTTTCAAGACACATCTGTTAAATAAATCACTAAGTGACTATATGATATTATTATTGTAGTTAGTGTGAAAGAGAAGCAAGGAATACTTATTATTTCCATTTCCAGGAGTAACATCACCCAGTCTATGTTCCTCATTAATGAGTGTTGCATTAAAGAAAAGTTCTATCATCACATATGTTTAGGAATCAGTGCCCTAACTTAGATTGGTTTCTCTACTGCAGAATTTCAGTCTGGTATATGTTAAGTATATTGTAAAGTCTTAGGAGGGTAACATTTTGTATGCAGTGCTCTCCAGTGTTATTTGACCCTGAGCTGCTTTTGTGGAGAAGAGCATCTATCTGGACTAGTATTCTATGGGTTCCACTTTAAAGTGCTATATATCACTCGTAAAATGATTTTTCTTGTCAGAGATTATTACTCTTAAAGATATGCTCTTCCATGTAAATTTAAACAAGGAATTCG
Source organism: Homo sapiens (assembly GCF_000001405.40). NCBI lineage: Eukaryota > Metazoa > Chordata > Mammalia > Primates > Hominidae > Homo > Homo sapiens. The sequence continues at coordinate 123,408,757 of NC_000006.12, read as the reverse complement.
AATGGGTACTTCTGGGACGGTCGAGTATGGAAATTAATTTATATACGTATGTTGCCAAACAATTCTTTTTTTTTTTTTTGAGAAAAAGTCTCACTCTTGTCCCCCAGGCTGGAGTGCAATGGCGCGATCTCTGCTCACTGCAACCTCTGCGTCCTGGGTTCAAGCAATTCTCCTGCCTCAGCCTCCTGAGTAGCTGGGATTACAGGTGCCCGCCACCTTGCCCAGCTAATTTTTGTATTTTTAGTAGAGACAGGGTTTCTCCATGTTGACCAGGCTGGTCTCAAACTCCTGACCTCAGGTGATCCACCCACCTCGGCCTCCCAAAGTGTTGGGATTACAGGCATGAGCCACCGTGCCTGGCCCAAAACAATTATTGTCAAGTTACTTCTCTAAGACATAGGTATGAGAATTTTGTACTTTATATTAGAAAATATAAAATATGACCTTATTCAAGTGCTTAATTAGTACCATGTATAGTGAGATGCTTCAATGAAATTCAGAGATTTTGATGATGAAGTATTGTGAGCACAGTGTTGGGATGAACAAGATAAATAGCACTAAACACATGGTATTGAATACTTACTATTTGCCAGGACCTCCTATAAGCATTTTCAATGCATTCATTCATTGTATTTCAATGTACTGATTAGTACCAGCATAAAACCAGGTACCATTGTTAATACATTTTAAAGCCATATTTGGGAAACTGAGGAAGAGAGCTGTTGAATGATTCACCAATGCCACACAATTAGAAATTGGTGGAGCAAGATTTAAACCCAGACCAGGCACCTCTAGGACTTATGCTCTTAATGTGTTTACAATATTGCTACTTCCTAGGTGGTTTATTGTGGTGAGGTCTTTGTGGAAAAATAATTTCTTATTACAAAAGTGTTTCATGTTTTGCTATAATTTTCAAGGTTTATAACAATTTTGAATCAAGCAATTATAAAAGGCAGAGACCTTACTTTTACCTTCCTTAAGATTAATTTTTACAAAAAAAAATATTGCCATGCTTTTTTCCCTTGCTGTTTGATCCTTCAAAATAATAAACATTTTTTATTCAAGGGACTTATTCCTTTAGTTCATTATTTATACAAAAAAAAGAGAAAGAGTATGTATTGTCCATAGTCACAGAGAGGGTGCCATGAGCCAAAAGAAAAAAACAAGATGCATATGGGAATTTTATGGGAGTGTGCAGCTTAGGAGGAGAGATAGAAACATGTCTCTGAACAGCAAAAGCAAGCATAGAAAGGGACAGATGCCTTAAGAAAGTCCTGGTGAAGCACTATGTTGGCCCCAAGGAGGGAGAAAACAATTGCACTACGAGGATCAGAAAAGTTTCCAAGAAATGATAGTATTTACTTTGGAGGGTAAAAAGTGGTTGACTGTGAAGAAAAAGAGAAAAGTAGAACAAGACAAGTAAGGGCATGGGGAAGAGCCCTGACTCTGTTTCTGTATGCACAGAGTTAATAAAACATGTTTCGTTCGGTTTGGTTGGTATAAGCAGAAAGCAACTTTATTCTTTCTGTAACTACCAATGCAAACCCACTCTGTAGACTTGCTTCTCTTCACCCCTTGGGTGAAATCAGGAACAGACACTATAGCTTGCCCGGTCATGCTCAACTCAGATAATAAAACAATGGTGTCTTTTTTCAAGACATCCAATCCAGTATATTATCAAAGCTCCCAACTTTCATTCAAATAAAAATTTCCCCCACCCCACCCCCACCTAAGCTTGGGCCCTCTCAGCAAGCACCCTGAGCTTGGAGCCTGAAGGTGGGAAGGTATTGTGGGTTTCTTTTCTCTTTTTCCTACTCTACTGAAGCCCCTGAAATTGATTACCCTACCAGCCAACCCACCAGGCTTGGAGCAAGGGGAGAGCACAGAGATAAAGACGACAATTTTTGTTTTTGAATCAGTAAACCTTGAAACCCTTCTATGTTGGACTTCCTGTTATGTGAAATAATACTTTCTCTTCTTAAGTAAAACAATATAGGATTTTCTATAAATTTGCTGTATAGAAATTAGCTGTTATAATTGCCATTGTTGTTATTTTATTTTAAAGGCAGAGACATTTATGTAAAAGATTTTCCTATGTTTATATATGGCTATCACAATGAGTCACAGCAAAACCTTTTAGAAATTATATTGGCTTTTCATTTTATATACATGCATATGACGGAAAATAAAATTTAATATTATATATTACATAATATAAAGTTTTAAGCTTTATATTAAAATTTATAGTTTAAAATTGCAAGGAAAAATGGCATTATTTTGAAGAGAAGTGGTAATTCTTGTTATATTGACAACATGCTGGGCTAGGGTCAGAATGCTTGCAGTTTAGTCCAGGCCTAGTGGCCTATCTTACAAAGTAATGATACAGATCAAGTGCAGTAATTAATGCAAAGACTTTTTAAACACTGTGTTTAAAAATTTAACTTTTTATTCAAATAATAGTGTAGAGTGAGCTTTTCAGTATATTGGAGATACTTTCTGAATTTAATGTGGTATACAATCTTGATGTTTGTGAAATTTATTTTTGTTGAAAATAACATTCAGAATATTTATAGGTTTTAGTTTTCTTTGGTCCTACATCATTCTATTTTGGCTTTTACTTGGCTTAAAAATGTTTCTGACTAAAATTTTAATCTGTGCATTTGTGCTTATCTGGTTTTCTAGAAAATTCAACAAATGAAGGATGAAGAATCAATGCAGTTTTTTAGAAATTTGAGTAGACATATTTTAGCTATTACTTGGAGTCAAATATGGTCTCAAGATAAATTAAATATGAACTATAAAACATTATAGCACAAAATACTGAGGGACTATCGTTAAGCTTCCATTTGCTTTTCAAGAGATGGGAGATTTTTCTTAGTGTAAGTAATCTAATGAGTGTTCTCTGCTTGTAGTACTTGAAGTATTGGATTAGGTACCCATGAGGATTACAATTAGTATGGGGCCATTGGTGAAAGGTATATTCCTCCTTTGATTAAAAAAAATTTGCAGTTATTTGTTTTTTAAATTAAATTGACTTTTTAAATTTTACATCATAATGTGAGCCTGGTTGAAAGATGAGAATTACTAAACTTTTTGGTCTGAGAATTTATCACGGTAACCTCTACTGCACCCTTCCTTTAGCCATTTCCGGCCTCGTCATGTAATACAGAAACCAATTGTGTTTGCCTCTGAGATTTCTTGTTGATGCTAAAGTCTTCAAAAATGTAATCCACAGAAGAATACATTGTAACATTTTATTCTTAAATGAATTTTCCAAACTCTTTAATTTTAAAACTCAGCGTATAGTTCATATTTATAAAAATTTCTACTGCCTTCAGATGGGTTAGTTGGAATTCAGACCATCTTGAGATGATGGAGATGGGCTAACTGGAAAGCCTAGTAGCTGTAAAAGTAGATTTCAGTTGAGCCATTTGTTAGAAGACCAATAACTTGCCTTTTACCACAGTATGTGGGAAATTGTTTTTTTGTACTAGCATTTACTCACTTGCTCTCAAACACTTCTATGCACATTGCTCCAGCATTTGAATATTGACTCAATATGGTATTTGTGCATATAAGCATGGATTTTGAATATTCAATGGTTAAAGGCAACCTCTAGGTTGACTGCTAAAGAAACACATTATGCTTTACAGAATAGTTCTCCAGAGAAAGTGATACATTTGCTGCAATACGTGAAGATGTGGGCTCCAGAAGCAATGTCAATATTCAGTAACCTTAGCTTGTATTAATATTATGAGAACCACTAGGCTGCCAGCTAAATACCAATTTAAGTTTAGATCTGCATGCCTAACATTGGGGACTACTGTTCCTCAGAGCTGTGCATAATTCCTTTTAACACTGATAAAGGAGAGAATGAAGTGGTGAAATTCCCTTTTAGGGAAGCCAATATTGAGAAGCCCATTTATTTATCTAGAGCATTAGCATGTGAGCTGACAGTTAAAGCATTTGAACTCTTAGAACCATGACACAAACGTGAACTAAAGAACAGTCCATGGGAGGCGCAGTGGCTCACGCCTGTAATCCCAGCGCTTTGGGAAGCTGAGGCGAGTGGATCACCTGAGGTCAAGAGTTCGAAACAAACCTGGCCAACGTGGCAGAAACCCCATCTCTATTTAATAGAATTAGCCAGGTGTGGTGGTGCACGCCTGTAATCCCAGCTACTTGGGAGGCTGAGGCAGAAGAATTACTTGTACTTGGGAAGTGGAGGTTGCAGTTACCTGAGATCTCATCACTGCACTCCCGCCTGGGTGACAGAAACTTCTCAAAACACAAAAAAACAAAAAATAGTTCACCACACATTACAAAAAGTCCACAGTCTCTAAAATTAAAAAAGGTTAAAAATAGATTGTAATCTAAATGGCTCAGTAATTCAGTGATATTACATCTCAAATACTAACTGCATATTTTCCCACACATCTTAGAGATAACAAACAACATATTTCCATGTTTACAGAAATGAATATTTTTATATATTAGGTTGGAAAGGACATCAAGTATGTGGCATCTATCACAGTACATAGCTTCAAAATTAATTGTCCTTTCATCCAAATTTTTGCTTTGCTTTTAATGAATGTTTATGAAAGTCCAAGGAGAAGATTGAGAGTCCAATATCAGAAAGAAGGAAATAATCAAGTGTGGCTTATCTGTCTTTGTTAGAGATTTCTTAACTATTTATTAAGTGGTTCTTTTTGGTCTGAGAAGGAAAAGCTGCCCTATAACCTTAATATATTAGAATATTCACCAATAACATGTAGTATCCCAATTATATACATTATAAAACCTGAATCATTTCAATAATAATTTGAATATCAAATATCTTGTCCCATTTTCCTCCCTTCAACTGCTATCTTTTATCTCACTATTTTCTATTTGTATTACTTACATTTTTTCAATTCCTCTTTTCTCCTGTATTTTTTTATTTCTGATTTTGATTCGCAAAACTTTTCTTTATTTAGTAAAATTCTATTTTCAGTTATGTTGAGTTTTTTAAATTTGGACCTCTTCCTTGTGCTCTGCAAGGTGTCATCATTGATCAGAGTACTGTCCTTCTAGGAAACAGCTGTGTATTCCTGCTATTTTAATAGGGGAATTTTGATTTCCAGACTAAGATGTACTTTATCTCCCTAGGCAGATACTTATACCTATGCTTTTTTCTTATTTCTTCCCACACATTCTGGGATCTTGCTACCCTAATTGTCTTCCCATTTCCCAGACTTTTCCATATTTTTCTCTCCATTTGGTGTTTCTTTATTCTCCTCAAACAAAACAGGAAAAAAGCCTTTGCTTGATCTTCCTGCCATCTTCAAGCCCCTTTGTAGTTTCTTTTTTTCCTATGGCCTCTGCCACATTTGTCACAGGAATGGATTCCACTCACTTCTATTTTGTTACTGTCCACCTTACAGCTCTAAAGGTAGGCTTCCTTCTATGCTCTTTTCCATTCCAAAACCATATCCACAATGGTTTCCAGGGATCTCTTAGATATAAAATTTTATTTCTTTTTATTTAACCCTGAACTTTATTGCCTCATTTAAAAAAATGTCTTTTCCCTGGCCTTGTTGAAATCAACATTTGGATTTTTCTTATAGATTATTAACTAATATATTTCTTGATAGGATGGTAGTCTGAAGCCTTCTGTTCATCTGTCTCTGGGAAAAATTGTTCACGCTCTTAATTTCAGTTTACACTTCGATGTGCATGACTTTAGAATCTCCATATCTTTTCAAGGACCCTCCTTTCTTCAAATGTCTACTCAATATTTTCATTTAAATTTGTACCATCGCTTCAAACTTAAAATGTGTTAAAAGCTTTAGTTAAATTATGTTAAAACCTATTCTGTTTATCAAGTCCAAAATCTGTCTTATTTGAACAAACAGCCTTCTTTCCTTCTCTGTATATGTCAAACAAATCTCAAAATTGTATTAGATTCTTCTTTTAAATATCTAGCTTATTTTTTTTCCATTTCCATTAACATTTGCTTAGTCTAAGGTATTATCACCTTACACAGAGTATTCCAGTGACATTGTACCTGGCTTCTATGCTAAAGGGACAGAAGCCCTTTCCCAGACAATCATGGACACTTTTATCTCTTCAAAACACTGCCGTGTAACTTTCCTGCCCAAAAATGCAGTAGCGCTCAATGTACTAAGACAAAAGTCTATCTTATTTGCTGAGATTTCAGGGTCAATTATTTTGACCATAATTTACTTTTAAACAAACTTTAACATTTGGTTTATTAAAATAAAACCTTTAAACAAATTAAATTTAACAATTTACTTGAGCAAAAAATGATGCATAAACCTGGCACGATTCAAAACTAAAGTGTTTCAGAGAGCTCTGCTCAGGTGGACAGTGTGCTGTTATAGCCCAAACTGAAGGGAAGTACAGAAATAGCTTGATTGGTTAAATCTAGACATTTGCCTTATTTGGACGTGGTCTGATCAGTTGGCTGCCTGTGACTGGCTGAAGCTCAGCTGTTTGTGATTGACTGAGACTGTTTTCTGTTACAAAAAACATACTCTTAAGTAAGGTTTCAGTTTGTTTACATACTGAGTTAGGTTGCAGTTCATTATGTAGGAACTCACAATGTGAAGACAGCCTCAGGCCAATGGCCTTCTGCTTATTTCATGTGTTTTACTTCTCATTAACATCAAACAAGACTCTTCTGCTCCAGCTGGATTGATTCATAATTCCAGGAGGATACATTGTCATTCACTCTGCAGCTTTCTTTCCCTTTCCCCTTTGTGGCTCTACACCTTATCTCTCCTTTAGTTTTTTTTTTTTTTTTCTTTTTGAGTTGGAGTCTCGCTCCGTTACCCAGGCTGGAGTGCAGTGGCGTGATCTTGGCTCACTGCAACCTCCACCTCCCGGGTTCAAGCAATTCTCCTGCCTCAGCCTTCCTAGTAGCTGGAATTACAGGTGAGCACCCCCACACCCAGCTAATTTTTGTATTTTTAGTAGAGATGGGGTTTCACCATGTTGGCCAGTAGGCTGTCTCGAACTCCTGACCTCAGGTGATCCACCTACCTTGGTGTCCCAAAGTGCTGGGATTATAGGCATGAGGCACTACACCCGGCCTCCTTTAAATCTTGTCTATATCCTGCCTCCTTAAAAATTGCCAATCTCTAAAACTCAGAGTACCATACACTTTATTTAGCATTTTTTCACACAGCATTCCTAAGCAAACTGTGGGTGGAACTAATTCTTATGTTTAGGTAATATAGATGCCTTATTCCCAGTAAGCACTCATGCAATAAATACAGAAGAGTAAGTGACAAACCTCAGTAATTATTTGGAGACGTGTTTTCTCATTTAAAATCAAATTGCATAATGTTCAACCCCTAACCCCCTGTTTAATCTGAGGACTAAGTGTACCAGAAAGCGTTTGCTTAGAAATAGCCTCTGAATTCTTCCTTGGGCTGCTTGATTTAGAATTCTCCATTCAGGATGTCTACCCTTTGGAAATCATGGTAATTTATCAATGTAATCTGCATTTTACAAACCTAGCCATTTTTACAAAAAACTTAAATTCTCTTTGAATATGATTATAACATCTTTAGATTTTGACATCTATAGAACTGTAGAGGAAAAAAAGGGCTCAAGAAGTCTGCGTAATTTTGTGAGGATAATTGCCACATATTTGGTTTAGAATTGTCAGGCATATAATATGGGCTTTTCAAACACCTTGTCTCCCAATCATTATTCACTTTTTCACGCAATAACATTTCGGGATGGCTGCTCAGTACCAAGAACTGTGTTAGAGATACAAGGTACACAAAAGCCAGTCTTTGCCCTTAGTTTTTCTTTCCACTATTCTTATTACGTTATATTTTCAGAGGACTACATTCACACAATTCTGTTTGTTTATAACATTTCCAAATTGGGTAAGGAGATAAAAGTGGTGTGTGTGTTTCTTATTTTCTAGGAAAGGAAAAACAGAATGGTGATATTCACATATACTGCTTACTAATATTAGAAAAAAGGGGCTGGTTTTTTAAGTGCTATATTTAGATCATACTGTTCTATGACACCCTTTAATGAGGAAAGCACTCTCTCTACCTTATATGTAAAGTGGGCATTAGAGCACGGGTCCCCAAACCCTGGTACTGGTCTGTGGCCTGATAGGAACCAGGCTGCACAGCAGAGGGTGAGCAGCCAGGAAAGGAGCATTACAGCCTGAGCTCCATCTCCTGTCAGATCAGCGGGGGCTTTAGATTCTCATAGGAGCTTGAACCCTATTGTCAATTGCTCATGCTAGGGATCTAGGTTGTGTGCTCCCTATGAGGATCTAACTAATGCCTGACGATCTGAGGTGAAACAGTTTCATCTCAAAACCATCCCCCATTACCCCCATCCCCCACTGTCCCTGTGAGCATAAACTGTCTTCCACAAAACCAGGCCCTGGTGCCAAAAATGTTGGGGACTGTCAAAATTAGAGGCCCTGTCAACTAGACCTTATTTAATTTTTAAAATTGAAATTTTAACTGAAGAATATGGCTAAATCAGAAATTTTGTTTCCTTTATATGTTTGTATATGTGTATGTGTGTGTTTATATATATATATATATATATACACATACATATTCTTTATGTCAAATAAAATGGCTTATTTTCTAAAATAAGCTCTTGACTTTTAAAATCATTACTATATTTTTCTTAGAGTCTGAATCAATCCTAGCCCAATAAATTAATCACTCATATGGAGAATGCAATAGTTTTTCCAAATCATAACATTTATTTCACTAAAGTGTCAAATTTCTACTTGAAATTCTAAGTAGAATTCACATTTGTGTTTGAGTCCTAACTGTTCTAGAAAGTGTATTCTTCTCCTAAGGAAATCATTCCAATTTGTTGGTCAGAATGCTTGCTTTTAAAATATTATCAATGCAAAAGGAATGCTTATTTTATAGTAGTGGAGGACTACCAGGATAAGTCTTAATAATACAAATGAATAAATAATCAAGAAATTTGCCATCAAAAATGATGTAGGCAAATTCTTCTAATACTTTTATCTGTGTTCATAATCACTGATTTTAGAAAGTTGCTATAGAAGGTAGAAAGGAACCTTGAGTGACCAGCTGGTACTGTCTCTTTGCTTTAGGCAAAAACATCTAGGACCCCTCTAAGACAGGTATTTCTTTCTCTGGCATCTCAAGAAATGGGACTTCATATCTTCCATGGTATTGCATTCTGTTGTTTTATTAGATACATGGAATAAACCTTTTCCTTAGTCTAAATGTAATCTGCCCTTAATATGGCAAATATTTTGAAGAGTAAAAGGCCAAATGATCTGTATCTTGCACATAACTTTCCTTTATGTTAAAAAAAGTTTCTTCTGCTAATCATTTAAATTAATTGATACCTTGGTCTTCAACCCTAAATTGTTGATTACTTAAGAAACTTGTCATTCTCACACATTCTATCCAGACAGCTAGATAATGCCATGAGGGGGAAATGCTCATTATTCTGATTGATGTTTCCCAATCATTTTCTGTTTTCCTATGCTTAATTTTTGGAAAAAGCTGATTTTATGTGTAACATCTATAGGTAGATTTTGACCTACATGTAGTAAAAGCATCCAAATTCTTTCTTTTTTCAAATTAAGAAATACTTAGATGAGTTAAATGGAAGCGATAGTCTTTTTTAGATTAAAATATAGATTATTTTAGTAGCCGTGAAATAATCAAATTTTTTCTGAATTAAACACTATAATGCTAAGTTATTAAGGTAAAAGCTACTTAGATTCCAAAACAAAAATACATGGCTTGATGAGGTGAAGATTTTCTGGGGGAAAAAATCTAGCAAAATTATGTTAACTATTGTAAATCATTTTGCCAACTTATTTAGATTTTTAACCTCTAGCAATAACAGATTATTTTGATACATTATTCATATTTCTGCATTGTGCACCTTTTGCAATTTGCATATCTGGCTGCAAATAGGCCCTTCTTTCAGGCTTCAGTCCCCTTGGTCACACAGGATGGCCAAAGGCTGCTTCATGATTAATTTCATCTCAATAGGGTAATTATCATACTGAAATGAAGCAATGCCCATGAAATATGCTTTCCTGGAGTTATAAGTACAAGAGGCTTAGCCTAGAGCTTTCAAGTATGTAGCAACTTTTAGCTTAAATGTTAACCTTTCTCTATTTTGGTACTATCTATATCTAAAAATAATACTGGATTTTATAAGAATAGAAAACAATAACTTAGAATTTGATTTAGCAGCTCTTTGGACTGCAAGATAATTTGTCATTAGTTTCCACTATCTTATGCAAAAAATAAAGGATGTATATATTTTGAGGGGTCAAGGTTTTATAATGCTGGGTCAAATTTTAGCTGCTGAATTAATAAACATGAATTTAACTCCTGATCTGTGGAAAAGCCATTCAACTTTTCTATATTTAGTTTTCTTACCTAAGAAAATAAGAACGGTCGGCCAGGCACGGTGGCTCACACCTGTAATCCTAGCACTTTGGGAGGCCGAGGCAGGTGAATCACGAGGTCAGCAGTTCGAGACCAGCCTGACCAACATGGTGAAACCCTGACTTTACTGAAAATAGAAAAAAATTAGCTGGGCGCAGTGGCGGACGCCTGTAATCCCGGCTACTCAGGAGGCTGAGGCAGGAGAATTGCCTGAACTCCGGAGGCGGAGGTTGCAGTGAGCCAAGATCGTGCCACTGCACGCCAGCCTGGGCGACGGAGTGAGACACCATTTCAAAAAGAAATAAAAGAAAATAAGAACAGTCTAAGTTCCTTGTAATATTGATGAAGTAGCAAGAGACAGCTTTAAAGCTGTTTTCATTTCTTTGGAAGATTAATAAAATAAATTTGATTCATAATTTGAATCCTGAAAAAATGTTTATCTCAAACATGCTCTTAAGTAGAATTCCAATATTTTCATTTTTTGTTGTTTGTTTCTCCTCCTATTCTTTTAACAAAATCCATGCAAATTAATTAAAAATTTGCAAATTTGTCTAAATTAGTTAATTTTACAAAATTCCCAATTGCAATGTGGGTTACCATATATTCTACTAAAAATCTAGTTCTAAAATTTAGAGTTAATACACTTTCTGAATAACACATAATCAGTGATCAAAGAGAAAAAGAGATTTTGCGTCATCTTAAAAGTGAAATAGATCCCTGAGCTTAATGTTCCATTTCAAAGCAGTCAATTGGATTTTTTTTCATTTTTATAGTTAGATATTCTGTGCCATTTCTTACTGTTTCATAGAGACAATTTTTCCAGCAGTTTGTTGGGTCTGGAGTTATAAAGTTGAATAAGTGACAATCAATCAGTGATCTCAGAGAATTTATAGGGTAGTAGGAAGGGAAGTTGTACGAGTAAATAATTATATGATTTCACATTGAAATGGAAATCTGTACTGTGGAGGTCAGTGGGCTGGGTATTGTCAATAACCAGGATAAAGTCTGTGTGGTAGGAGCCCACTACCTGCTTTACCATCTGCTGCTACTCATTCTCCTGCCCCTGTCAGTTCCTCTCTCTAATGGCCAGCCACTTCACTGCAGATGGGGGGAGTCTTTCTTATTTATTTTGTTGTTACTATAAGTAAGAGACTTACATGTTATTCAGGTATTTGAATAACATTGTTTATTGTCTCTTTTGAAGTAATAATTGATCTCTACCAACTTATTCTAAAATTAAAACATAATAAATACACTGTTTTTTTTTTCAGAGATGGGAGAATGCTCAAAAACATGTAAGATGTGGGTAGGTTTCTCAGCAATACTATTATTCTTTACCTGCTGTCCATTAGCCAAAGACCAATTCTGGCTGCTGACAGTGTAGCAGTCCATTTGCCACTAAAGTTATGTGAAACCTATTTTTGAAAATGTAATGGATTTGCACTTTACATTAAATGAAGTCAAAATATAAACAGTGTCCTAGAAATGAAAAGTTAATCGTATTAAACTAATATTTAAATCTCTGTGCAAAAATTGGCTCTTTAACAAAATGTTTGCAGACTAATGATATCTTTTCAGTTTTGTAAATCAGGTTGTTCCATATCTGTGGAATCAGAAGACATTGAAACATTTGGCTCATCTGATTCATGACAATTTGTTTATATAAATACCGCATGTTTCAGGGATCTACAAATACTAACTTCTCTGATAATTTCCTGAAAAAACACCCCCAAGTGAATTATGCTGACATTTTAATCTAGGTCCATCCTGTCTCTGATTTAAAAGTCCAAAATACTATTTATCAATTTCAGAATTACTATAATCTTTAGTTGAATATTGTTATGGTCATCTGTTTTTTATTTAAGTCATTGTACTTTATTTCCAAAAACACAGCTATAAACAAAACTATGACAAGATAAAATCATTTGATATGATGAAATTTTCATTAGAATATGTGTAGTGGAGGCAGTACAGATGAAATACTGTAGTAGGTGTTGGAAACGGTGGGCTCATTATCCTGTCTTTTTTATTTTTGTATAGGTTTAGAATTTTCCCTAACAAAAATGTAGTTTCTTTTGTAGTTGGCAGAAATCAAAAGGAGACAGAAAAATTATTTATAATGAAAATTTGTCTGTCTGGATTAATGTGTTTTCAGTAGTACAATATTTGGTGCAGCCTTCTTGTGTTGTACATGTATGGACTCAGGGTCGATTCCTCCCCTAATGTCATGCAATTTTGAAAATGGAAATGCTGTGCAAGAGCAGATGTCAAATCTGATCTTCTTTGCATGTGTCCTCAATAGTTTCAAGGATGATATTTTTGTTGGTTGGATGCAAGCTGGCAGACTTACTGAAAAGGCATTTGGTTTTAAACTGTTAATTTCTATTGAGATGTAGATCATGTAGTAGTTTGTGAACTAATATTTTAGACGGGTGAAAACGCAATTGAGGTTCGTGCAACTGCAATTGCATTTGCACCAACCTCATAAATGAACTTTAAAGCTTAAAATCAGAGAAGGAATAGATGGAGTTATGAGGGACAAACATGATACTGCTATGATCCCGAGATTTTCCTCCATTGAAATCTTTCTTTTGCAGGTAGACATTGTAGAATGACCTCTTTAAAATACACTTTTACCTGGAAACAGTATCTTCAATGCATCAGTGTGCATTTGTGGACTGTTTTCTTTGGCATGTGTTGGACGCGGGACAATGAGGGGCAGGGAAGGCTTAGGGAGGGAACTAAGTCTTAGTAGAAAGAAGAGCCCATAGATAAGGAACCCTAAAACATGCCCAATCTATGTGCACACAGCCCAACCCAGGACAGGCTAAGGTTATTAAAGAGGTAAACCCCATTGAGAGATGACCAGCCTGTTGGGACACTCAAATGGGAAAACTCAGCACTCAGGGGCATGTTTCTGAACCTGACCGCTGAGGGAGAAAGCAGCTGACAGAGAAACCAAACAGTCTGTGGGAGAAGTGATAAGGCCCTAGGAAAAGCACTACATAATTTGCAGGTGTGTGTGACCTCCGTGCTCTAATAGAATCTTAGGTGTGATGAGGTTGTTTAGGATCAGTGATTTAAGAGGATATAAAGAAAAAGGAGAAGATAAGAGGAAAATTGGCTGCAAATTTTTGCAAATATTTCTACAAATTCTAAGGTACTTTACATACTGATATTTTAAAATCTTTTTCTTTAAAATTTAATTACAAATTGCAGTATAATTTTCTAATATTTTGAGATCTCCAAGAAGTAAAACATCTGAGCAGAATGGTGCTCATTTGTTGAAATTTTTGGGCATATTATTTTCTTCTTTTCTTCCATTTGTTTTAGTCAACAATTATTTAATACTTGTCTACTAAATGTCAGTTATATATAATTACTAATTGAGACCATTTAGTCTAGGTTTGACAAAGATGGTACTAGCATGCATGCAGTTTTCCTCCAGAAAAAAAATTAATTATGTAAATATCAAGGGTAGACTGAATTCAGTTTTGGCAAAAGATATTTTCTCTGAATAAATAGCTATAGTAATTAGAATTATTTATGAATCAAGTAATATTTATTTTATGTAACAACAAATAAAATTAGCATTTTTATAATCATGTTTATATATAAATGAATAATTATCTTACCAACAAGAGGTAAAGCATGAATTAGAAATCAAATCAACATTAAACAAGTTATAATCAACATTTGACAATAATTAAATGAAAGATTGAATATATATGTGAATCAACTACTACATATCCACCTAACTTCGTGTCCACACATAATTATTGCTAAACATGTGATGGATGAATGAATGAAAGTGAATATCTAAAACAAATGACCCAATCTTACTTTCCATTATTAAATAATAATTCAATAATTGAAAACAGTAAAGACAATCAGAAACCATACTAAGTCAAATGTGAAGTGAGCCGTTATTTTTTGAAATTTTTATTTACCCATTATTTCCCATTCTGATTAAGTATATTTAAATGTTTATCATATAAGTTTTTTTTTAATAAATCCTTTTTCTTTAAAGGAAAAATTCTGAACAAAGGAGAAAAACATAGCAAAAAAAACTTAGAACAAGAGGGAAGAAAGATTCATAATGAAGCTTGCTCATTCTCTCGGATATATTTTGCCCAGGGCCACACTAATAGTGATTGGTGCCACTGCAGTTTAGGGAAGGGCATTTTAGAGTCAAAGGCTTGAACTTGGGATTGGTTGTTTCAGGCTTTATTCTCACATTAGTCACTAAGGGACCTTCAGTAAGTCATCTTATTTGGTTCTACATGTGCCATCGATTTCAAAGGGCTGATAATACAGACATAATTTAAATAGAATTCTGAGATTTTCAAATTCAGATGCTCAACAAATGCAAAGTGATATTCCATGGCCAGTTAACAGTGAGGCAAAACAGTGTTTGGAATCTTTATCTTATGATTTAAATTGCTTCAGTCATGTTTTTCTTTCAGTAAGCTCCATTCTCAGCAATTCCTCTAATAAGTTTATGTCTTAACAAAAATTCTTCGTGTCAAAAGCAACACTTTTTATGCTCGTTTGTGTTTGTGCTCCCCTGTCCCTTTTTTATTTATATATTTTTCCAAAATCATACTTCATGGTAATTTATGTTTTTTTCATTCCAAGAGCCGGGAAAAGCTTCTGAAACCAAACAAGGGACTGTAAAAATTGCAGCACAAGGTAAGCAATAAAACACTTTAAAAAGCATTGCCTTTTTTTAAACATCTATAGCACTTTATTGACAAAAGCAAAAGCTGTTTATTGCAGAATAGCACCATCTGCTGGGATATTGCAAAAAAAATATTGTTGAATGAAAATACACAGTTCAAGTATTTATTTAGTAATTGGAGCAAGCATGACTGAGAGTAATGCCAAATTTGCAGAGGAACTGCTGAAGGACCCAAGAACTAGTCTTGGCTCCAAGTTTCAGTATTTGAGCTTTATGTATATTTTTAAAAATAATCCATTGATGTGCATAAAGAAATACAAATACAGATATAAAATAATGTACACTTTTCTATAATTTTCAGTATACCTTGTAATTTATGTTACATGAGAAGATCAGAATGTTATTAAAGCAATATTACTTCATAAACATCAAAACTGTAAAAATGGGGTTCCAGATATGGCTACAAAATAATTATCCTATTTTTATGAGCCATCTAAGAAAATTAATTTCACCATTTACAAATATCTTCAGGATAACTAAAGTGGTTTCGTCTCACACCATGAGGATTAATTTGATGAAAGCATGAGGGAAGGGTTCAAGTGTTCTGCCTTTGTTATGTGGCAAAACTTTATGGAACACACTTAGAAAATAAAAGATACAATGTTTACTGGAGAAGATCTTTATCATCTCTTCTATGCTAGATTATATAATATCAAGCAATAAAGGAGATGCACATAGGTGGTGGTACAATTTTCAGGGGTAGAAGGCTCTCATAGCAGACTTCTTAGCACATCACATGATGTATGACCGAATGTATTACATCTGAGCAAAATTTTTCTCTTGTATTTAATCTTGGACCCAGCAACATGCAGAATCACCCCCGAAAATATTGGTAACATGGGTTTGTTAAATGCCATTTGACTCGAGGATGTTGTCTGTGAGCAAAATAAGCTAGAATGATTAAAAGCTATGATACCAGTTTTTAGTTTTCACATTGAAAAACTTGTTTTTCTTTAGGAAAGTTCTGATAGGGAATATAGTAAATATTATGAACGATAGAAAGGCAGGACAAATATTATTACCTTTGGTTTTTTAATACATGAAAATGCAGGTCAGGGTGAGTTCCTCAAGCCAATGACTACCAGTTTAAGAAATCATTGCTATTAGTGTATATATGTTTTCATAGAAAACCACAATCACCTTAGGCTCATTCTGTTTGACTGAGACTTCTGAGGACCATAGTGTAGATGTGGAACTACGACTTGAGGCAAGAATTTTGTGTTAGTTACTTCAGCCTCATGTTAGAGGCATTCATGAGGAGGAAAATGAAGAGATATCTGAAAATTTGATTCATATTTGAGCTTGAGGCCATGGGCTCTTTAAACTACATTTAACCATTCAAGATTTAAACTACATTGGACAAGTCAACCTTAGAGCTTATCATTTTGGAATAAAATATTTATTTTTGAGGAAATAGTAACCAAGAGTTTCAAAGTCTTGTTAGAATTATCCTTGGAAGGAAATTGGATGAAAAGATTGATGAAGCACAGTGAACAAGGCAAGAGTGAGGTATTCTGTGTATGCGTTTACTAAAATAAAAATGACACACCAATGCAGGGACACATCAAAGCAGAACTGCATATCATTCGCGTCTTTGCAAATCCTCCATAGATCTTTCTTAGATATGTTTATTTTAATGCCATAGGCATATAATTAAATTATGCATATAAATAATTAATATTTGCAAGTACTTCACGTGGAGACAAAACTTAAAATTGGCAATAATCCTATAGTAGACTGATTTTTTGAAGTATAAAGTGACAAAATTGATCATGATCTTTGTGGCATGGTAAAAGGCTAGATTAGATCTGTTCATTTATTTATTTTTAACTTTTACAACAAAGGACATATTAAAAATCTGGCTTTCCATACATATGTATGTATATATGTTCATATTTATTTATAACTATTATTAAGATTTAGCATATATTCTTTGGAATTTTAAAATAATTTAAGGAAATTATTTTAACAAAGTTTTGAGACACTGAGGAGGCAACAAAATAAATATCTCACTACTACAGGAAATTCCAATTTGGAGATCTAAGAAATTTAGGTAGATATAAGGAATGGCTTTTGTTTCTATTAAGACATGAGACAATAACCTCAACTAGGATGGTGGCAATGACATAAGAAAAAAAGCACAAATGTCATTAACATTTTGAAGAACTAATATCTGATAGAGTATATCAAAAGAAACAAAGGAAAGAATAAAAATGATACTGAGCTTTGGAAACTGGGTAATTAGGAGATGGTAATTGTTAAAAATATTAAGTTTCAGGGGAAGAAACTAGCTGAAGGGAAAAAACTAGCTGAAGGGAAAAGATGATTCATTCTTCAGTGGATGAATGTTGAGCAAAAGTAAAATAATTGGACAATAATTTTTTTGGAGCCAATTAGAATTTAGATGGGGGATCAATCTAGTTCACAGGTATTACATAAAAAATTGTTGGAAGAAATTGATATAGACCCAAATTGGAAAGGAAGGAGAGAGATGGGGAATTATTTTTTTAATCAGTTAGGTGCAATGATGAGGTAGACACCTAGTGATATTAAAATGCCAAAGAGAGAACACATGCCGTAATGGAACTCGGCTTAAAAGATGGGGTATGTGCACTCTGTGTTAGTGTATTTCCACTGGCTTTTTTCTTCTGGATTCCTGAAGCAAACATTAAGAATCTCCTGGATACTATAGGAAGAACACAGAAAGAGAACAACATCAACAAAACTAGAATGTTAGCCATTCCAGTCTTTTTACAATGTGAAAACCAAAAACCCAGTTATTGAGAACCATGTCTACTCAGTAAATTCAGGAGTCATCCAATCCCATAACAGAGTTAAGTAGATTAGAACCAGGCAAGCTGAATTTGAGGACCAGAAGTAGGACACGTGGAACACAAGCTACAAAACCGTTCTAGAAACAATTGAATCCCGAGACCCTGGCTTTGATTAGCTTGTGGGCCTGGAATCCAGCTTGGTAGATAACATGGCTTTCCAGTTGGCAATAAATAAAAGCCATGCACCTTCAAGGGATCCAGGGCAACAACAGAAACCAGAATCAGTTATGATGGAATAGGTCAAATTCCTTCATTCAACTATCTCCATTGTCGCTGAAAACTGGAAACTGAAACTATCAAATATATAAGAATGGGAAAAAAGAAGATACATGTGCATACATGCATGCTTGCATCTCTATATGCATATGTACAGATTGTTTTTCATGTATTATTTTAGAAATCCAAAAATTTGTTGTAATTTAACAAGATTTTACTAATCTTGAAGGAATTTAAGTTTCAGAGGCTTTCTTGTCTGTAGAATTTGTAAGAAACTACAGTTTTGCTAAATGTATTCACATTCTGAGCCCTCTTTTTGGCGTTGGTCAAGGCCTTTGTCAGGTTGCCCTTTAGATGTGTGTTTATGGTTAAATTGATGAAGTTTAGCGTTCAGAGCAATTCATTGACCAGAGCTCCTTCGAGGGGGTAATTTTATGTTGTTTCATTTTGTCTTTCTTTAGAGAGTTCCCCATACCCATCCATCCAAATCATGATTGGATGATTTTGAAAATTGTAAAATTTTTTGAAGGAAATTCTTATTTTCAATGTAAAGAATCAACAACAAAGTCTGTTGAGTCAAACTCAGAGACTTACTAAAATTAAACCTCATGGCTTTGAAATTCATCAGGCCATGTCCATATCATTTAATTCATTTTCGGTGTTATCTTTGTTTTTATCCTTATTATATCATTGGAATAAACAATTTCTTAACTTAAAAACATTGTAAATATAAATCTGCTATACATTTTGTGTATTATTAGTTAAAACCACATCAAAAAGAAACAAATGTCCCAAAGTAGAATTAACTTATTTGTAAATTCACTTTTCTACTACAAAAGTAATAGCACGTCAATAACATTTAGAAAATAGAGAAAAATAACCTGTGGTAAATTAAAATACATTTTCTTCCTGTCTTTTATTCCTGATTTTTAGAGCCAATTCTGCTGCTTATACTCTGCAAATTATTTTAATGTTTCAGAGGCTTCATTTTCTGCTCTGGGCTGCCTTTTATAACAAGGTCAGGATGAAGACCCAATAAGAGGATGTACCTGAAAGAGCTTTGGCAATTGTAGCACAGAGCAAATGTCCATAGCAGTTGTTTCTAAGTGTTTTCTAAGTGTTGTTTCTAAGTGATCCCCAACATTCTATCCCGCTGAGGTGAGATTACCATACTGGAATATGCACAATCTCAAATTCAACTAATGTGGCCTAAGATACCCCTGAATGATTTTGGCTCCTGGATAAACATTACACAGAACCAGGGGTCATATTGCTTGGAGCAATTCTAAGCCTGTTGAGCACCTCTCCCAAATATTTCTGGTAATACCCATAAGCAACAACGTGGATCCAGATTTAGATTCATGGTCCAGAATTGGATAAATATCAGCACAGAGGAAGCCAGAATTCAAAGGTGATTAAAGTGTTCTGTACCTTTTTCTCTATGTAAAAGAAGGCATAAGTTTGCTAAAAGGAGGGTAGGATATTTATTTTCCCTTCCTGAAATTGGGCATTTTATACATGGTTATTATAAGTGCAAATGTAGACTGCAGACTAGTATATAATTCCTCAGTAGCTAAGCATAGATAATTTTTGGAATATCACTTCCACTTTTTTTGATTAATCCAGTCACAGCCTATATTTTACGACCTTCTAGAAGAGATTGTGGTTTCCTCAGATATAAAATTTAAAATCTAAAATGAATTTACACTAAGCATATACATATAAATTTGACTTCTTGTCTACGTAACTCCATATATTTTTTTCTTCTTTTGCTAATGCTTATTTCTGAGTTTACAAATATCTTTATATGAAGTAATATTTTCTGCTTACACTCCTATCATAGATTTGGATGAATTGATTAGTGTATAGGTGACCACTGAATTTATGAATATGTGGAATACATTCTCATATTCTGGGGAGTATTCTGAGGAATGGTCATTTCATATGCCTTAACGCTATTTTCATTACTTCAGCAGCAGCTAAGAAGGATGAAAAGAAGGAAGGTATGTTTTATGCAAAATCCCACTGAGCCTTTTGTGAGTACAATTTACCAATATCCTGAGTTGGGTTTTGACTGCTATTCTGTCTATATTCCCCTTGGATAACTGGATCTATTATGTGCATACATTTTGCATGAATGTGCTTTTTCTACTTCACCTCACACAGAAGGGTGAGCTACTTTTTGAAAGTAATTTTAATCTAGTCTTTCTCAAGATATAAGGAATAAAACATAGCTTCTCAAAATCCTAGGGCTCCTACTCTGTTGACAGTTTTATCAAATTTCAGAACTATGTAAAATACAGACTCATTCTCATCGGCATTCAAATCAAAGTCTTCTAAGCCTTTGGGGTATATAAAACAGTAGTCAAGTTTCAATTTCACAGCTTTAAGCTTTTTATCTGTTTTTTTTTTTCTCCCATTGCTCTGCCTCTCGGATTTTTTTGTTCTATTTTTTCTGGCTTATATACCGCTTTTCATTTTTTCTCCTTTTGAAACATTGTCCATAATCAATATGCAATATTGGAGGAGCTTGGGATGAGCTGTGCTTTTGTAGATTCAAGAGATCCAGTGTCCATGACCAGCTAAAAAACATATAAAACACTCCTTGTAGGCAGCAAGACTGAAATATTGGTATCAGCTTCAACCCCATTTTTTTCTTTTTCCCCTGACATTTAGTCCTCCAGAATTTTCACTTTTCCTGAGCTATCCTTTTGTTTAATTCTTCCTATAATAATTAGAACAACTAATCATCATTCACAGGATCCAGTTCTTTATTTGTGATCTCACATTGCCATTTGTGACCTCATGTTGGTCTTACTAACTTCTCATGTAAACTAGATCAATAATCTCCAAAATCAGTGGTCAAGGACTCCTGTGGGTCTCTGAGATCTTTTCAGTGGTTCTATAAGGTTAAAATTATTTTTATAAATGATAGGAAGTTTTCATTTGCCTTTCTCACTGTCGTTCTCACTTGAGTGAGACTTCTAGAGGATAAACAATGGTAATAATACAACACAGTAAACGCCCAAGCAGATGTGCAAATCCTATTGCTTTCTCATTAAACCAGACATTAATAATAGTCACAAAAGTAATAAAAAAGTCACTCATTTCACCATATTTTTGTATTGGGAAGTGTATCGATCATAAAAATATGTTATTTATGTTAACATTTAATAGGTTTATTATTTTTAATAAATGCATAAATAATACCATATTTTAAAAATTTCCTCAGCTTTAATTTTTTTAAAATGATAAGCATCAATAGAAAGAAGCTACGTAAATAAAAGCTGTTTGGGAGTTTTAATAGTTAAGATTTTAAAGGAGTCCTGAGGTGAAAATGAAAAACTTTGACAAAAATAATTAATTTGCCTCTAATATTACCTCTTTCCAAAATAGTCAACAGATTTCATTCAACTTTTCATGTCATAACCTATTTAAAATATTGAGTGGCTTTACAATGACTCTGTAGAGTACACTGAATGTACTCTACAAGTGTTAACCTTCAATTAAAGTTTTTAAATTCTTTTTCTGAATCGTCTTTCCTAACTGCCTATTAAGCGTACATCAAGGCAAGGTCATGACCAAGGCCTAAACAATTCCAACAGTAAAGATGCAATGATCCCTTTTTGAGATTGAGACAATTTATTACTTTCATAGCAAATGTAAGAGTAGCCAGAGGTTCCAGCTCTCCAAGGTTGTTGCCCCACACACCAAAAAGGATGAAGCCCAAACAAAAGGGGCCAGATAATGCAACACAAGTTGGGGACACGTCATTGCTGAGGAGCTAATCCAGACTACAGCAAAATGATTTTGTGGTCTGCAGCTCCATTCCAGGCAGCTTTAGGCGGAATCAGGAGGTGATGAGAAGCTGCCTCTTGACATCCTCCTGGGAGAGATAGGGAGCCATGTGGGAGGTGGTCTCACAGCAGGTCTTTACAAGCCTCCCGTCTTTCTGTGTTCTGGGAGAATCACAAAGCATCCTACCAAAACTTAAATTAACTGTGGTTCAAAACTTTACCTGCATGGCCTGTATGGATATGTGCAAAGTTGCCAGGACATCATGGTGAGCTGTTATCTGATATTCTCACCCAGTTCTTCCTTTATCATCTTCATCTGTACCAAGTCATTCTCTATTTTACATATACAATGTGGCATCTTGCCTTTGTTCTTGCTGTTATCCTAACAGAGCTTATCCTTTTTCCTTCTATGAACATTCATACATTTTCCTGTCTCTGAGAAGTTGGTCTGATACTACCAATTAAAAATACTTTCCTGCATGTATAATCTTCCATTTGTATCTCTCTACTATTATTTATTTCTTGCCACCTTGTACTTCATGTTACTTGTGTTTATTTTCCTATTACTCTAATTGACTTAAGCCTTTTGTCTTAAGGGACCATGTCCAATTAACTTTTATCCCTTATGGAGGATGAGCACATTTCCTTGGTTTGCACATTTCTGAACAAATATATATTCTATGCACGCACCAGTAATATTCAGGACTCAAGATAAATATAATACCCAGAAGAAATATGAATAGGTACCTGTTTTCTCACACCACAGGCAAGGAATGATTTTTTTTTAACTACTAGGAGGTATATTCCAGTGAGCTTTTTAGGTTTGGGAAGTTATAATCAGCTATTGACTGTCCTTCTTAGGTGTGTGTAATCACTAGCTGCTCCTTGAATTCTACGAGCAGATCCAGGTAGATTTTATTCATCTAAACTCAGATTGAGTGATGAATTCCTAGCAACCGGAATTCTAGGAATTCCAGGTTATCTTCTGAAAGATAGAAATCCACTGAGAACCAGCCATATGAGATTTATTTTTTACTATAAATAGAGAAAATAGAGCTGAATACATGTGAGAATTAGTCGCTAGTTCTATGGCTTCCAGATTCAGACCCGAAGATAAATCATGCTGAAAAACAAAGCAAAATTCCTAGTATTATAGTTGACTAAAGTTGTCAATCAGGCAGGTTCCACAAAGGAGATAGGATACTTCAGTACTAGCACTAGTAGGCTATCAGAAAATTAACTTTTCCCTTCAATATAAATTGGTATTTCATTTTCTTTCTGTTTTTTTTTTTCTTTTTTTTTTTGAGATGGAGTCTCGCTCTGTCGCCCAGGCTGGAGTGGGCACAATCTCTGCTCACTGCGAGCTCCACCTCCCGGGTTCATGCCACTCTCCTGCCTCAGTCTCCCGAGTAGTTGGTACTACAGGCGGCTGCTACCACACCCGGCTAATTTTTTTGTATTTTTAGTAGAGACGGGGTTTCACAGTGTTAGCCAGGATGGTCTCGATCTCCTGACCTAGTGATCCGCACTCCTCAGCCTACCAAAGTGCTGGGATTACAGGCATGAGCCACCGCGCCCAGCTGGTATTTCATTTTCATCTGGCATCACTTATGAACATAATAGGCCTTACTTGAGACACTGCTACAGATGAGTGAATGACGGATTGAACAGATGGCAAACACATCACTGCTTTTAAATCACAGGTGCTGGGAGCCTCAATGTTCTTAAAAGACTACTGCCCAGATTATTGGGCAGGGAAGTATATTGACCAAGTAAGCCTTTGTAATGTTTTAAGCTGTTTGAGCCAAGAATGCTGAAAGGGCATAATGAAGTTTAATAGCATGAATATTACCAGCTAGTATTAATAGCTCTTCAGGGTCAGTATGTGATCTTTGGACTCCAAGCACTATATTTTTAAGTTCCTCTATTACTTTAGTTCTACATTTCTGTTGCACTATTGACTCCAAAAGAAAATACATAACTTTATCATGACATTTTGAGTTTCATTTGCCTGACCCTGGACTTCATATCGTGTTTTATTCTTTCATTTTAATACAATTGATATCTGATAAAATATATTATTGATTCTTATTATTAGGAAATAGAAAGGCAGATTAAAATTTTAGATATTCTATAGTTACATTTATTATATTGAACTTTCTGTACATATTCCATTCCAGTATCTGGTCAGAGAATATAGGGATTGGAAATAATCTTGTTCTAATATGCCATGTTTCATCTTCTCTGTGTTCCCACATTTCCCCCAAACTTTAGGTTGAATTTATTCCTACATGACCATGTTCTCTTCATAATCCTCCTGTGCTTTTCCTGTTGGCTGTATTCTGGACTCAAGAGATTGTTCAGTGAGGAACACAGAACTGCTTGGGCAGGCAGAAATCCTATTTCAGTATAGTGGAGTCAAACTAACTGACAACTTAAAACGGACATTGAACTATCAAGTTCATACCTTAAGCTGTTGTGTTATAAGATTCTTATGTTTCAAGTAGAAGTGGCCACTGCATATTGTTAATATAAAACTGTATTATGTCATATTTTTTCTGTGTATTTGAATTGCTTGCTTATCCAATTAAAATAATTATTCAGGAAGAAAATGAATAGGAAAATGTTTGCAAAGCACATATGTTTCAGATAGCAAATGTAGCCTACTAATTTAAAATTCCTGATGACAAACTAAATAGCAAGAATATTTTTCACATTGGTTTTCAGAGCTGGGGTTAATTAAGAAAAATCTATTCTAAAATTATTTTCATTGTAGTGTGCTGGACACAACAGTGTTTAACAAATGATGACTAAGCAAATGTTTTGTCTCAGGAATCGATTATTTTTTAAAATCAAGAGTTTTTTCCCCTTACAAATAAAACATATTCGTGTTACAGAAAAATTTGAAATTCAGAAAGAGAGGTAATAAAATCTTGCCTAATTATTTAATCTGTCCACAACTACCATTAGTATGTTGGCATATTTTCTTCTAATCTTTCTTCATACACACTCACATGCACACATAAAGTCATTTTATATTATGTTTTTATTTTTATTTTGCATTATTTAATTTATCTTATTTAGTTAATATTTTCCACATTGTGGCATAATTAGCAAAACATCATTTGAATAATTGTGTATTTTTCTATTGTATGAATATACCACAAATTCATCAACACTCTCTTATTGTTCAGAGGGTAGTGTTTAATATGCCCATTACTGAGAGACACAAAGCAATATCCTGAGAAAAGCATTTCCCTAAATATTTATTTTTATGATAATATTGCTTTTTTTCTCTATGGATTTCTAGAAATGGAATTACCACATCAAAAAGCATGTTAATTTTTATGATTTTCTGGATTCTTTTCTTAGTTTGTTTCCTAAAATATGTTTCTAGCTTATACATCTACGGAAGTGGGACATTACCTTCACCACAATGTTACTGGCACTGATTATTATTGTTACATAAAACAATTTTGTTGACCATCTAACTGCCTTTTGTGAAGAGACAATGAGTCCATTGTCATATCCAAACATTTTAGTTCCCTTTCTTCATCATGGAAGTGAAGTCGTGATACCACCACACCTCTGTAAGGCACAGAAATCCATTAACTTGCAAACTATTAGTGAATGTCTACTGTTCTAGGTTCCAAGCCAGATAATTATAAGCCAGAAAACAATTTAGCTACCTTTTGCAGGTATCAATTCATAGTTCATTATTATGATTCTAATTTCAGTAATAGAGAATTTAAAAGTTCTTACAGAAACAGTAAAAGGACAAAGAAGATTAAAAAATAAAATATTCTAAGCAAAAATTCAAGCTCAGGTGCTTCAATCTTAAAACAAATGAGCTTAAAAACCTCTTGTTTTCATTTTCAAGTGGTGGGAGCAGAAAGTTTCATGGCCTAAATAATAGAAAATAATAAATTTATCAGATCTAGGCTGAATGCCCGTCTACTATAAATGAAATCGATGTCTTTTGACCACGAAATAGACATTACTACATAACAGTTATAAATATAGTGATGTATTCATCAGTAACCCATGAGTCAACAGTAATCTATTTCTTTTCCATTACCATAAGAATGTCTGAATATCTATATTGGAAGTGTATTGATTATTCAAAGACAGTGCAACATAATTCACCTGGACTGACTTAGATTGAACAAATGAAAGTTTCAAGTTAACTTCATGAACTCCTAAGCATCTTTATGGAAACAGAGCATATATTTACTCAGTTTGATGTTCTATTAACAGGTTACTAACTTACATAGGCAAAACAAAATTTCTTTATAAATTATATGTGGGTATATTTTCCTTTATATTTTTCAATGTTTTATATTCTTTATAAAATATTATTAATATAAGATATTTTATAAAGAGTTTCTCACTCCTGCTTCACTCTAATACTTATTCCCACAAAACAGAACAGTTTCTAAGTCTCATATTCTAGAAATATACAAATGATCAATTTGTTGAATAATCAATTTTATTTGATTGTTTATAGAAATTTGTTGTGAGCTGATCAGCTGTTGATTTATTGTATCTGTTTTATTAATAATTTATCTTTGTGTTTTCAGATTCCAAGAAAACAAAAAAACCTGCAGAAGGTACTGGACATATTTCTTTTTTTCTGCCTTATGTTTGATGAACCATGAAACAGCATACCTTCTTAAAGGATTGATGTAGAAGAAAGAATTATGTGTGGGATAGAGGAGAAGAAAAAATGATTGAGATTGAGAGAGAGAGAGAGAGAGAGAGAGAGAGAGAGCGCCAAATCTATTCTGACAATACTGCTATGAGAAGTATTTCGCAGTAATGGAAATAAATACTGCATATCCTTTCACAGTAATTGTTTCCAAAGAAATGTTTACTTAACAAGAAATTGAAAAATTTTCAGTATCAAACATTTATTTTACTAGAAAGCACACACTAAATTACTTTTTGATAGACTGGCATCAATTAGGAACTGATTTCTTCCTTTCGGTCTTGAATAATTCATTTGGCAAGTATACCTGTGCCTCCTAGACTTGTTCACATGTGTTTTTATGTGTTTAAGAGACTATTACATATCAGGTGTAAATAATTTAAAATGGTTAAACAGTATAATCCTGGGTTAATTTATTGTCAAATAATATTTGCCAATCAAATTATGGAAGCACCTACAGTAATTAACAATACCTCAGAGCCTCACTGTGAAATTTCACCTCATTGTGAAATTTAAGGAGAGAAAATTGGAAGGAGGGGTG
The DNA here is from genome assembly GCF_000001405.40 of Homo sapiens. Taxonomy (NCBI): domain Eukaryota; kingdom Metazoa; phylum Chordata; class Mammalia; order Primates; family Hominidae; genus Homo; species Homo sapiens. Next base: position 123,381,478 of record NC_000006.12, on the reverse strand, counting down.
GGAAAAATTACAGTCTAATCAATATGTAGGGTAGTACGTTTTATCTTTAAAGTTTTAAGAGCAATGATTTTGTTTGTATTTCTTTCAGTAGAACAACCCAAGGGAAAAAGTAAGGAAATGCATGCAGTGTATTTGTGTACTTTTTTTTTTACTACTATTATTTGCCTGCTGCTGTATTTAGACCTGCAATTTTGAATCCGCTTTTCCTATGTTTTATGCATGTGAACTCTGTTGTTTTTTGTCCAAGTGAAAAAATACACAGTCTGGGGGTTAGAGTGGACTGAGAAGCATAGTAATCATTTTTAGAACTCTTTCTCAAGCTCATGCAATCATCTAACAATACTCTTGACGGGCTTGTAATCAAAAGTAAAACTGCATTCCATTAACCCAAACTGACTTATGTTTTTGTAAATTTAGTCCTAATCTGGTTAGTTGTCAGTCCTTTGAAAATTGACTAGAAGTTCTTTTACAGGCTAGTTTTACAACTTTTTTCCTATCTTTCTTTTTGTAATCTGTAGATATTTTGGCATGCCCATGTGATATATGACATTTTTCCCATAACATAATTTCCCCCCTACACTCACTATGAGCTCTGTCTAATAGGGTTGCTATTCAGCCTCATCCACTGTTGCTTTAACACTATTAAGACTGTGTGCTAACAATTCAGTCAAGCTCAATAACTTAATGTATGTCTTTCACAAATATAGGTTCTCCTCTGAAGAAAATAAGATATATTTAACAAAAGAAAGCAAAAAAAAAAAAAACCCTTGAACTTATTCAATACACTATTAAAAATTAGCACATTACCAGCAATATAGATTTTAAGATTCTAGTGATATCAAAAATGTTTTAAAATATATACCAATTAAAATATATTTATGTGTTTTGGCCCTACAAAAAGCAAGGATGCTGAGACATTCAACGTTGTAAAAATGCTCTAAAATGCCCTGTGGAGACACTCGTGAAATTATACTACAACTCAGCCAGGGGGAGCAATCCATCTACAGAGAGTTCTCTCAGTTCCAGATTTACGTGTGTGCAGAGCTACTGATGAGTACTGGCACAGAGATACAGAAAGCACTCTATAAACGCTGCACCAGCAGGAAAATGGAGAACAACTGGAGATTCGAAAAATAGTATTAAAGTACATATAGAGATAGCCTTAAGGCCCTTTATTACAGTTTATAAGATTTAAAAGTTCCTGCACACACTGCAGCTCCTTGGCAATCTTCAGGGCACTGATGCACTTAATAAATAAACATGCCTTTTCACGCATTCATTCACAACCCAACTGTTTCCCTCCTTGAGAAGGTCCTCAGATTGTGACTCGGGCAGCAATAAGGAGAAGAAATAGTTTTCTTCAAAACACCTATCAGTTCTTTTCAAATTCACTCATTTGCTATGGTTTATCATCTAGACTTGCTTTTATTATTGTTAGTGTTGTATCTTTGAATTTCTTTGATTTGGATTTTTTATCTTGAGGGTTGCTTTACTCGATGGTACACCCCAATTTTATATTTTATTTTGCTTCTACTTTTCTAATAATCACAACTTAAAGGTTGTTCACTTTTCAGATATTTTTAATTATGGTTAAGGGAAACAGGATGAAAAGTACAAGAGACCATCCTGTACATTTTGTAAATGTTTGTGAGCTATAATTTTTTTCAAAATAAAAAGTAAAAGAAAGAGACCTCAAAAATCAACCATAAACATGAGTTTGCAGTCCCTGTAGAGTTAAAGGGTAAATCAATGTATATTTACTAAGGTAATTCAATAATTACACCATGAGCTATCCTATATAATGAACAAATTAGCACAGCTATTTTTCAGCTTTCTGATAAGATTGAGGGGACTTTATTTTAACTTTTAATCTTATGTATAGCTGGTATTCGATTCTGATGCATGTCCAAATCTGCTTCCAGTACTTTTTTGACTGTTATCACTGTTTGTGACTGTCATCACAAATTTCTTGGAAATGTTTTATAATTAGAGCTTCAGTTAAGCAATAAATTAAACAATGTATTTAATTGCTCTTCATTTGCCAGACAACATTTGATAATGTTCTCATTTTGTTTAATTTTAGCTAAATCGTCATAGCTTCTTCTTTTTGACCTGCAACACTTGGCCAAGCCATTTGTTTCATTTTTTTGTTTTGCTGCTTAAAGGCTGTCTTAAAAGAGGATAAGTTGCTCATTATACCACACTTATTTAATTAGAAGCCTGACTAACAAAATTGTATACTTGGGAAATTGATGTGATGACCGTAGCATTCTATGACACTCTATATTTTTAAAATATAGTTTGTAGAGTTCTTTCAGTATGAACATATTCTAGTCTTCAAAATCTATTCATTAAATAAAACTTTAAGAATCTTTCCATTCTTCTTTAAAATATCAGATAAAAATGTGGGTATGTTAAAGTATTTCTTGAAAATCTTCTTTTACATTAATTTGACAAGGTTGTCAAGGCAAAATAAATAAGAATAGAAATGTAGATGATAGCACTTCATGTAAAATTAGTGCTTGCAATTCTTATAAAATTAGTACTTATTATAATGTAAATGTCAGCTTAATCTTGAGAACAAAATAATGCTTTGTCTCATACAATATTGACAAAAGTAGATTCCTGAAAAGAAACGCTATATAAAGAGGACTCCAAAAGGAGCATTTGTCCTAAAAGCAAGGCAAATGTTTTACCCTGAAACTTCTTTTTCTATTTTAGTGTCTTAAATATGCCTCACAAAGCCTTTGTCTTAGCTTAACAGCTATTTCTTCCATGTAAGAAGATTCTTAGAAGAGGCAGTCCACGTGAAATGTGCTAATCTTCATCTTTCTGAGAATTATTTTAAAATAACTGCAATAAGCTGCGGTGCTGTGGCTCATGCCTGTAATCCTAGCACTTTGAGAGGCTGAGGTGGGTGGACCTCTTGAGCCCAGAAGTTTGAGACCAGCCTGGGCAACATGGTGAGACTTTGTCTCCACACACACACACACACACACACACACACACACACACACACACACACTACAAATCTGGCTACACATGGTGGTGTGTGCCTGTAATCCCAGCTACCTGGGAGGCCGAGGTTGGAGGATCAATTAAGCCCAGGAAGTGGAGGCTGCAGTGAACTAGAATTATAACACTGCACTACAACTTGGGCAACAGAACAAGACCCTGTCTCAGAAAAACTAAGCAATTTCTTAAAAAGCTGTAATAATTATCTTTTGTACTTACTATTTTGACTCAAATTTATTTCATATTGATCTAATATAATAGCAAATTTAATTTTTTTCACCCTTTATGGATTCTATTTTATTTTTCTGGTTTATCATCTGTAAAAAATTCAAATTCCTCTAATATTCAGAATATTTTGATGCTGCCCCATAAGGAAACTCCCAAGATAAATGGAAAAAAGAATTATTTTAAGTATATAATCTTAGCCTTTTTATGTAAGCCATTATTAGTTGCTGCAATCTGGCATCAGCACATGCATGTTTCTTTGTGTTAAAACAATTAAGTTGGGATTCATAAACTTTAGAATAATAACGATAATAATAATAACAATAATAATATGTTTCAGAACAGGAAAAGAAAGAAAAACATGTGGAACCAGGTAACTGTTTTTAAATTCCTCTGTTCTCACAATTTCATAATATTATTTGATTTGCAATTGAATACTGAATTACAATTGAATGACATAGAATGCTGATTTTTTTTTCTTTCCTTTTTGATACAGCAAAGTCACCAAAGAAAGAACACTCAGGTGAGTAAGACCACTGTTGCTGGATTCCGAATACTCATGTCCAGTGTTTATTAATGCTGTAGCCTCAAACAGGTGGTAAGGCAGCGCCAGTAAAGGGTGGGGAATGCTTCCATCTCACAGTGTTTTTTCCAAGTTCTTGACATGGACATAACATCAATGCAGTTTTAGAAAATGAAAGCCAAATGTTACACTCTTGCTCCTCAATGTGTGTTCTGTGAACTAGCAGCATCAGAATCACCCAAAATGTTATTAGAAATGAAGGATTTTTGGCCCCACTCAAGACCTACTGAATCAGAGTCTGCAACTTCACAAGACCCTCAGTGAATTCATCTGTGCAGTATTTGCGAAGTACTCTTTCACAGTTTAGTGTAAAAGCAAAACAAAACAAGAACAAAACACTTTTTGTAAATGCATTATACATCGCTTTGTTTTTAAAATATGGAATAATCACTTCCAGCAAATATTATCTCCTTATTCATAATCTTACTTAATAACATTTCCTGAGTGCTCAGGGGAGTTGCAGTGAGAGCAAAAGTAGATTTTGCCCAAAATATATTTACATTCTGATGAGAAAAAAACTGATTGAGAGTCAAACAACTAGACAAGACAAATAAACCTATCAACAAAAACTAAAAGTGCAGTTGCTGTGGATACCAAATTATTGTCTTGAAGTTTTCTAGCATTTAACCTGCCCAATTAATCATTTCAAATGAAAATTTCTGAAACCATTTATATTTCCCTCATTTAAAACTATCACCTCTTGATTTTGCCTGGCTAACTCCTACTGAAGGAGCTTCACTGAGTTATTTAGTATTGTGTGTGTGTGTGTGTATGGGTGATCATAACCTTATGTAATACCTATCAGTCATTCTTCCCATTTCATTTTATTTAAATGGAAATAGCATCTGCTCAATCTTATTTAAAAAACCACGCAAAGGGGCCCAACTGTAGTCTCACCCTACCACAAACCACGGAAAACTACAGGTTTGAATCCACATTTATTATTCATTTTTAAAGATTATAAAATATCCTGAGACAGCCCAAATCTGTTTTAAGTGTCTGTCCAATTACTTCCCATAGTATCATTTTCTTACTTTTATAATATTTCATATGCTGTTAAAATCGTATTATCTTTTCCCTTTTCTACCTTATATAGTCAGAAATTGGAAGAAGCCGACTGTTTTTTCTCTTTATTCCCAGAGCACCTATTGTAATGCCAGGACACATTGGGCGCTTGATGATGGCTTATTGAGTGAAGGAAGAAACACCAAATAGAACAATTACATTTTTATAAATTTAAAAACAGAAGACTTTAAAATAATTTACAAGATGCAATAATTGCACATTTCAGCATTTCATATTTTCACAGTATTTGACCTTTGGGAAGAAATGTTTTGTCTACTTTACAGAGAACACCCTGTTGGTTCAGAGTTGCATTTCCTCAAGCATAACACATCTTCTCACTTACGCATGTAAGAAGAACCTAAGATAGTGTGTGCATTATAGAAAGACAGAGAGACATACAGAATGACTATTGGTGTAGCCAGTTTTAAAAGTTTTAATAGTTAAATATTACTGTCTAATATTGAACCTGACAAAATACAATAAATTGCTTGAAATTATTATCTATTTTTTTCAGTGTGTGATTACAATGCAGCAACTTAGCAGTAACTAGCTGTAGTTCAAAAATTAAAACCATCAATTTGAATAATTTATGAAGTGAACTCATTCTTTTCACACTATTTTATAGACTTTGAGGAAAATGCATTTGCCTGTATATAAAAAAATGAGATCCTTGGATAATTAAAAATGGAGAGCAAGATGATTGATTTGTAAATGAATATTCTGTGTTGGGAGAAGTATGAATAACAAACAATAAAATTCTATAATTCATGGAATATATTTGGATTATATCAGAAAAATGGCACAGTATTATATTTTCCTTTTCTCAGATCTTATTTTTCTTTAGCTTCCAATATTATACACACAATCTTTAAACAATTAAGATAACCTTACAATTATTTTGGAAAGAGATAAGCAGATTTGTAATTACTGTTGACCTTATTATTTCTTGTCATTAACAGTTCCAAGTGACAAACAAGTAAAAGCAAGTATGTTGAACAAAATTTTTAAAGAAGAGCATATTTGGGCAGCTTACTCATTTGAATTTTCTGCTATAGACTATGCTAATGCTAATTTTGAGAATGGCTTACCAGCTTTTTGGTATGATTATTTGTTGTGCTGAATATGCAATATTACTTATCCCTGTCTTTTCCGTGAATTCATTCTTATTAAAATTTATCTATAGAGCTTTCATTTGTTAATTTGGCCACATCATAACCCCTTTGTGAAGTGTTACATTTTTATTTCTCATTTTGCAGTATAATAAGTGAACTCTTCAGTACACATCAGACTGAATTATCCTAAAGATTAATCAGTTGATCAAACCAGTAGGCAACCTAATTTGTCTACTATGAATATCCTGTCTCTAATGAAAGGTAGCCCCTCAACATTTTCTTAACCATTGCTCTTGGAATGTGACAATTCCCTTTTAAGGTTTCTATTCTTGGATTATGAAGTATTAACTGATAACCATAACATACTGTGGCATTTGCAGCAATGGTAACTTTGACAATATGCTTAGGAAAAAATGCTGAGAAATTGTTGATATTTCTTAGTTTGATGAAGTAACTGACTGTTATTAATAAAAGTTATTTTAAGCATAATGGAAAATATTTTGCCTTAGGAAGAAATACATAAGCTTTGTATATAGGATTTAAGTCAGTCCTCAGTTCTATGCGTGACATCAATGTGCTTATATATTTTTTGAGAGGTTAGAGGTAAACAAGTACTGGTGATGCTACTAATACATAAAACAAATGCCTGTTATTTAGTGCTGAGGTTTTTTTTTGTTTGTTTTTTTGTTTTTGTTTTTGTTTTTTTTGATGGAGTCTTTCTCTGTCACCAGGCTGGAGTGCAGCGGCGTGATCTTGGCTCACTGCACCTCCGCCTCCTGGGTTCAAGTGATTCTCCTGCCTAAGCCTCCCAAGTAGTTTTTGAGACATATTATGTCAGTAGATACATCAGATAAAAATTGAAAAATATATTGAGTAGCTTGATAGGAATGTCTTTTTTTAAAAAAAGTTACAGTTTGAAGTATACACATAGACATTGAGAACTTTACAAGAGAGGTTTAACATGAATCTAAAATTCCATTTATATTTCCATGAAAATTTTTAGTTAAATGTAAAGCTGATTGGAACTCTATATTATGGAGTCTTTGCTATGCTGATACTTAGTCTGTAGAAATGCTTAATCAAGAAAATATATCAAACAAATCTGATAATTTTGTAGCACTGGGAGAGAGCTTTAGATTGAAGATTGCTCTGAAAATGAAAATCTTCTTCCTAGAAAAATGTGACATATAGATAAAAATATTCATTTGCAATAAAAAAAAATCTGTAAGTTCTGCTATCTATGAAACAGACTATCCAATCAGGTTTTGAAGAGATCAGCATATTTTGCAGGAAATTAGCAAATTAGCTTGCCAAATCATCTTAAACACAATATAAGTTTCATAAGAGTTAATATTCTACTCCCTATATGGTTGAGAGATTTGCACTTGACATGGCCATTATCCTTCAACACAAAAATTAATTTGATATAATTCACAAACTGCTTAAATTATCTGATAACAAGGTGACCAGCCATTTTCCCAACTAAAAATGTATTTTGGCATTGAAGTCATACAGCAGGAGAATTTTTACTCAGCTGCTACATACAGCAGGCTACTTATAAAGTTAATGCCTAAAATGAAAATTACATATCATTATAGATACCATTGAAAAGCCTTTAAATTATCCATATAGTATGGTGCACATAGTTTTCTGTATATAACCTGCACATTTGAGATATGATTTTACAGTATGTTAAGTTGTGAGGTCAAATGAGAATGATAGAGATAGATAATTTAACATAAACTATGTATTTATGTGATGCAATTCCATAATGTTGAATTTAAAGGGATAGATGAGATTGACAGGGTTAAAGTCAGTCCAAGAAAAAAGTAAAAGGGGATTTGTCATTAAGACTGGATTAAAGGCCATAACTGGAAAGTGGATTGAGTTTGTAGTATGGGATTGTTTACTCTAGGTCCTGAGGAAACACCCGAAATCACTGTAGGAAAAATACTGGAGGACATGGACAAGCTTGGGACGTACATCACCTTCAGAATAGAGCATATATTAGTCCCTTTTCATGCTGCTGATAAAGACATATCCCACACTGGGCAATTTACCAAAGAAAGAGGTTTAATGAACTGACAGCCCCACATGGCCAGGGAGGCCTCACAATAATAGTGTAAGGCAAGGAGGAGCAAGTCACATCTTACATGGATGGTTGCAGGCAAAAAGAGAGCTTGTGTGAGAGAACTCCCATTTTTAAAACCATCAGCTCTTGTGAGACTTATTCACTATCACGAGAACAGCATAGGGAAGACTTGCCCCCATGATTCAATTACCTCCCACTGGGTCCCTTCCACAACGTGTGGGAATTGAAGATGAGATTCAGGTGGGGACACAGCCAAACCATATCATAGAGTCTCATAGTAACATGAGCTTCAAGAAAATGAAAACCTTTCAGATTACTGGTGCGATGCTAAAGAAGAGCACTCCATGCTTCCACATCGAAAGTTATGTGTCAGGGTGTGGTGTGGATGAAGAAAGTGTACCTTGGGCTAGGCAGGGATGCTGAAACTAGACTGACAATTTCTGCAAGTCAGCAAAGACTCCTTTATTTATCATAGTGTGAGCAAAAATACCTCAACACACCCACCTCCCCTACCTACATTCCCCTGCATGTGCCTCTCCACACATTGGATAGCAACACAGAGGTTGACAATAAAATTAGTCATTTCCAAGCATGGAGAGGACACAACAAGTAGATGTGTAGACTGTAGAGTGCTTCATGGCTTTAACACTGTATATATGGTGAATCTTCAAGAAGAAATATAGTAGACATTGTTTACCAAATATATGTGACCACATCACCCCTTTCTCTTTCAATGATCACATCAAGGATCACTATTTTTCAGAACCTTGGGTAGCACTGTCCCAGGTCACTTTATTCCACCTCAAGGACCTTAGGGCTGGGATCATGTATTCCATATGCATGGTCAGCCAGCCAGTAGTCAGTTTGAATTTTGAGGAAAATAGCCACCAAAGCCCAGGATAAAGCCAAAATATAGTCATTTTTAGCTCTGGATCTAATAATCAGGCATTTTTCACCCCTTGATTTTAGCATTGCACAGATTGGGTGTTATGTTCAGCCACCGAGCCTGACTATATTCATCTCCTTAACCACACTTCAGTGCCTAAATGTGAGTCAGATATCTATCATCTAATCTACTAATATATGTCAAGATCATTTAGGAGACATCTGTATGCAGAATTTAAAAGTAAAGTCCCATTGAATTTATTCAGCTATGTATGTTAGAAGAATATTTGGAGACAACTGCTCTTAATAAAATTGCATGGTTTTTTTTTTGACTCAGTTTAAATACTCTGGCATGGAAATGGCAGAAGTCTCCGGGAAGATCTATAGGCCTGAACCAGCATGCTTGATATAAAATGAGTTGTCTCTAGACCACACACTGCATGCCAAATATAATCTTGGTTGATCTATGTATGATCTTAGTCAGTTAGAACAGTCTTGGTGTACTATATTGTCCCAGAATAATTATTACTTGCACCTCTTTTCACTTGCTCGATTTTGTATAATATATTATATAATTACTAATAGTATCACAGCTGGTGCTGCCAGAATATATTCAAAACAGCACTCATACAGCACTAGAGTGATGATTTTATGAGGTTTAAGTACCAGGAAAGGTAAGATGTGAGAGACCTGGGACTGCCTTAGGTGGTAGGGTAAGGCATGCTTCTTGTTTAAAACTATGTGTAAAGATGAGGTTGGTGTCCTGAGTGCCAGCCCCAAACTGAAAATGCCATGGTTCAGAGTCCAAGAATGTTCATCAAGGTTGACACAAAGAGCTAGACTGATGAATACTGACAGAAGTAAAATCTAGGTTCAGTTAAGACATGAAGAGGTAGGGGAAAAAGGGACAGGATTTCAAATGGGAAACCAGAAATAAATTTTAGTATTTAAAAGTGACATAATGAACACAGCAACATGGCACTATAAAGCATGGCTATTGAGATCAGGACTATGTGTCCTAAGTGTTAGTAATAAAGCAGTCCCCAGATATTGTATTATAAAGGGTAGAATGGTATTGGTGTAGATATAAACAAATTTCCCAATAGGACGGAAAAAAAGAGACTTAAAATACATCACACTTGAGCAAAAATCTGACATAAGAAAAAGCAGCCATTTCAGAAAGTCAGAGTGTGGATAGATTATTTTTAAATGTTGCTGATATAGCTGGTATTCAATACAAAAATATAATTTATTCTTATTTCATACAGTTCTAAAATATCAGTTCCAAATGGTTCAAGAACTTAAATACTAAAGGCAAAACATGGCATAGTTTCTTTTAACCTAGGAAAATATACAGTTTCTTGAAATATGGGAGGATTTGAAAAACTAGATGTTCAAAATTCTAGTCATACATTTAATAGCTGACATTTTATTGTATTAAAATTATGATCTTCAATTTATCAATAAATGCAATAAAGAAAGATAATGGACAAGCCACAAACTTGTAAAAATACTTGTAATATATTTAAATAGCAAGAGATTAATAGCAAAAAATAGATGAACAACTCCAAAAATTAAAAAAAAAAAAGACAAAGACCTTGATAGACAATGGGCAGAAAAAAAAATGGGCACTAGATATAAGACTGCATTAAAAAAAGAAAAAATGCAAATGTTCTATAAACGTATCAAAAGATGTTCAACCTCTAAGTAATAACGGAATTGTACTTAAAAGTACAAGATAGTATTTTACATGAGACTAAATTTTCAAAATTAGGGAATAGGCTTATTCTGGTGATGGTAGTGATACGGAGCAAAAGAAACTCTCACGTATGCTGCTGATGTGAATGCAGAATTTAGGGAGAAAAATGTGTCATTTATCTAGGGTACATGCCTAGCAATTTCACTTCTATGAAAATTATTGCACATGTGCAAAAGGAGACACATGTGCAGGAATGTTCATAGCAGAATTATTTAGAAAACACAAAACTGGTTGTGACCTAGTGTCCACTGGCAGGAGAATAAATCCATAGTTTGTAGACCAAACATTGGAATGCTAGACAGCAGTTAAAGTTAATCAACTACAGCTACTCATATCAACATAGTTATATCTCAAAAAATCACACAAATTAAATAATACAGTTTAATTTATATAACACTAAATATTATAATGTAATTTAATTTATATAAAATTATCTTACCTTTATTTAGAGACAAATACATGTAATAAAAACCCATATAGAAAAATAAGGAAATAATTATTACAAAATATAGAACAACTGTAACTTTGAGATAGAGAAGCGTGCAGTGCTAGTAGGAAAAGTAAGAAGTTTCAAAGGCCTTGGCGATATTCTATTTCTTAGGTGTGCAGGAGGTTACAAAGGTGAACATTCTTTATTGCTATTCATTAGAATGTGCACAAATGTTATATGCCTTCTGTTTATATGATATCTTTCACAATAAAACAGGTTTGAAAAACAGAGAGTGAGAGGATAGAAGTGGTGACATTGAGTGTAGCAGCTCTATGCAGAGAGATGAGGTAGCTGAAAATGTCATATAGAATTGAAGGATGTGGTTGTCTGTGTCTCTAAAGAGTGACATGAGACATTGTGAAAGCATCAGTGAAGGAGAAAACTGATGAGGGAGCAGATCGAAGCAATACTGGCAAGAACAAAGGCCTTGACTTGGCAAAAGGAGATGGGATCCAGAAAAAAATATGGAAGGATTGGTACTAAAAAGGGGCAGGAACTGATCACCTTTTGGAACTGGAAAGAAAAATGGATGAGTATGTGCTGGTGTGGTAGTGGAACAGTGATGTAATTTAGTCTGCCCCTATTTTCTCTATGAATTTCTCAACAGCAGCTTACTTTTATGTTGTAGGATGTTTAAGGAGGGAAGAGAATATTTTCAACTTTTGTTAAGAGTATGAGAAAGCAACTTTATTGGGTCTGTGGTAATATTACTGGCCAGTGCTAAGTGATCTCATAAATGTGATCCACATTTGAAGTGAGGTCTGCTGCAGGGTGGGGGTCTTCCTTCAGCTTCGATGACTGCTCAGGTGGTAGGCATAAAGTACATTTGGTGTTTTGGCAGACATAGTGGGTTGATTCGTGCCTCCCACCAAAAGATATGTTGAAGCTCTACCCTGGTACCTATGAATGTGACCGATTTTGAAATAGGGTCTTCATAGATATACTCAAGTTAAGATGAGGTCATGCTGGATTAGGGTGGGCCCTCAATCTGATGACTGGTATCCTTAAAAGAAGAGGAAATTTGGGACACACAGATGCATACAGAAGACTGCCACATGAACATAAAAGCAGAAATTGCAGCAACGCAGCTTCAAGCCAAGGAATGCCAAGGGTTCCTGGCAACTAGCAGACTCTAGGAGGAGGCAAGGAAGGATTCTTCCCAAGATCCTTTAGAGGGAGATTTCTAGGGTCCTGCCAATGCCTGAATTTTGGACTTCCAGCCTCTAGAACTGTGGAAAAATGTATTTGTTTTGTATTTATCTACCCAATAGTTTTAAGGCAGTCCTAGGAAATTAATACAGCAGATGACTATAACAACAGAAAATACGTGAGTGATTTAACTATGGCTCATTTATGCATAAGCTTGGTAAGAAGTAAAGTGAGGATATGAGGAAAATCTTGAAAAATGAGAAAGTGGCAAGAACAAGGAATGGAAGTATTAATGGGATCAGATACCGTATAATGGGAGTTCTTGTGTAAGTGAGCTCTAAAGAGAAAAAAATGGTGCCAAAGAATATAATTTTTAAAATCAAAATTCTGGCAGTAAAGGAAAATTCTGAGGGTACAAATATAGTTGGAAATTGCCAGAGAAGTGGAGTTTCTAGTTTTCTGAATTGAGGAGGCCAAGGAGGTCAGAGATCATGTAATTGTATGAGTTGTGTATATCAGTGACTCCCAACCCTGGCAAAATATTAGAGTATCCTGGAAATCTTAAAAATATACCAATACTCAGGGCTCACGCCAGACTCATTAACTTAGAATCTCAAAGCTCTGTTGCCCACTCCAGATATCTGAATATCATAGGCTTAGAAAAACTCCCCAGCTTATTCTAAGGTGCAGACAGGGTTAAGAATGATTCTTAATAATATTCATAGTAGTAGTAGAGCAGATGATAACTGTGTGCAAAAATAGTCAATGAATGTCAGGAAAGGCCACAAGACTGGTTGATGACAACAATGAAGAGGAGTAGAGAGTGGTGCAACCTGATAGCATGTACTTCAAAAGAACTGGGGTTTGGAGGAAGCAAGGAGATAATCTATGAAGAGTAATGAGAAACAAAGAGGATATAAATATGCATTACTTCTATACACCTTGGTATGTGGAGGATGGAAAAACAAGCATTCTCCATTTTAGAAGACTACCATCAGGAGGGGATACAGTGGCCTTAGTGAGCTAGGATTTGATTAAAGGAAGAAAGTAAAATGAACATTCTGAGAAGAGGCTGAAGATACAGGAGTGAATGCTGCTGATGGACAGAGGACACAGAGGAAGGGATTTGGAAGTATGTCAGCTTCTAGGAGAAATACAGAGCCATATGGACTCTGTTTTCTGCTAGAAGGCTGAAACTCATGGTAGTAACTGAGGTAAGTAGGGAGGGGGACTCACAGTAGGAATAGTCTTGACTGATTCATAGGGGAAATTTGGTTATCAGTTTCCAAAGTGCGGTCCAAATCAGGAGCCTAAGCATCCCCTGGGAACTGGTTAGAAATGCAGGTTCTCAGAATATGCCTCCGACATACTGAATCAGACCTTTTGCGCTCAGCATCTGTTTCAATAGCCCTCCAGCGTGAACCTGATGCATGCTTAAGTTTAAGAGCCATTGATCTAAAGTCTTTACCTGGAAGGTATAAAACAGCCAGGAGTCTGTTCAGTCTTGAAGCCCAGGGTATTGAGATAGCTCGAAGAAGAGGTTATGTATGTCACTTCTTGCCTGGGTTTAAATTGTGACTCTTGGGGCATCTATCATTGTGGAATTAAAACCTGAAAGTGACATGAAGATCTCCTTCTGATGTCTGATGTCTTTCAAAAGCCGGGTTTTGTGGCACAGAGAGGATGAGGGGTGTAAAGGCTCGCCTTGTTTGATTTGGTTGTTCTCAGAGCATCAGTGCTGAGCATATATGGGTGAAGGGTGATACAAACAAATACCAATAAGAATAAAAATAAGAATATATATGACCAAGGGGAACAACCTCAACTAATCAAAAGTTATAAAATGAGGAAATAAGACTTCGTGAAAATTCACGAGCTTATTATTATTATTATTATTATTTTATTTTCCTGTGGACTAGAGAAAACTTTGACTTTAACTAGCTTTGATTTGTGATCCAATACTCTGTCCTAGCCCCAACAGTTCAGATTATGACTTCAGGGCAGCTCTCCTGTCTTCCACTCTAAGTATTTAGAGAAACCAAAAGGCCACTTTTTGTCATTTTATTCTCTTTGTCTCTCTTGAAGAAACATTCAAATGAAATTTTCTATGATATTACAGCTAATCTTTTACAGTGTAAAACTAATTCATTGAGGTCAAATATTGTTTGCTTGCAATCAGTATTAAACAACTTTTAGCAGACTCAACCATGATTAAAAGCTAAACAAAGAAGCCCTTTTAAATGCTCTTCTCTATAATTCATATGTAACTTAAAATTTGTAGACTATGGCCGGGCGTGGTGGCTCATGCCTGTAATCCCAGCACTTTGGGAGGCTGAGGCGGGCGGATCACCTGAGGTCAGGAGTTCAAGACCAGCCTGGCCAACATGGTGAAACCCCGTCTCTACTAAAAATACAAAAATTAGCTGGGCATGGTGGCGGGCGGTTGTAGTCCCAGCTACTCGGGAGGCTGGGGCAGGGGAATTGCTTGAACCTGGGAGGGAGAGGTTGCAGTGAGTCGAGATTGCGCCACTGCATTCCAGCCTGGGCAACAAGAGCCAATCTCCGTTTAAAAAAAAAAATTGTAGACTAATAAATTAGTATCCCATTGTATTGAATGTGGCCTTAATTTTAAGAACTATTGATCTAAAGTCTATGGAATAGGCCACCTTCTTTTATGGTCACTACCTACATTTTTAAGATAATAGAGTTGCACCTTGGAAGAGAATTTCTTTATTGCTATTTAAGGAAGTTTATTAATTGAAAAAATCATATAAGCACTTTGTATTTTGGCTTTCTCTACAGCTTGCTTTGCTCTCATGTGCAACATACATTTTATCTTTAATTTTATTCTCAATAGTATAAGATGTGAATTTGGCATCACTAATATCCACTTCTCATTCCTTTAATATCTGAACTTGCAGAAACTGAACGAGCCAAAGAGGAGATTGGTGCGGTTTCAATTAAAAAAGGTAAATGCAGCTTAAAGATAAAGATGTCATAACTATAAGTTATTTCTGCTAAGGTTTCTAACAATGTATTGTTTTGTGCTTAGAAAAGAGCTCTATTTATTGATTTTACTAGTTCGTTGATATAGAAACAAACCTATTTTGCACAAGATTTTATCATTACTGTTCTAAAGCCTATAGTTTTATTCCTTTAGGACCATAAATTAAAGCTAGTTATGCTAGTCAAATTGCAAGTTAATTTTGAAAAATTATAGAAATGTAACTGTTTAAACTCCATAGGATCCCCATCATCTGGAGAGCATTCTAGTGCAACATACTGCCTTAAGAGATTAGGAATCGAACAAATGAAACTTTAACTAAAAGTACTCACATGAACAAGATTCACTTTGTTCAAGAATAGTATAAAATTATGAAATGTATTAGGTGAGATGCTGACTTGGAGACATTTTGCTTTAAGAAATATATTGGGAAGTCTGAAATGAAGTCAATAATGTAGCCAATGTCTTTGGAAGTATATCAAGAGACAATTTAATAAGCCTATCCTCAACATACACTGATGCATACACACACGCAAACCTGCACACATACCCTTACACACATACTCCACTAAAACCACTTCTCCTAAAAGACTAATTTATTGCACATGCTTTATAAAGAAAACATATAACAGGATTGTAGGTAGATAGAAAATATATATGACACATATTCACATACTCAATCCCAAACAATGTATACATATGAATATAAATGAATACAGGAATGTAACTTAATATCTAATATAAATTTATGTTTATTGATACAGTATAAATTAATGTTAGCTACTCTATAAATTAATTTATTGATTATTTTATATATACATATATCTCTAAGGGAAAGCAACAAAAATTAGTGAATTCTTTAAGAAAAATATGAACTGTATTTGCAGGCAATAATTAGAAGCAATTAAGTTATTGAAATTAATAGATGCTCTCTTTCAAATACAGCTCTATTATTCTGAATTTACAGTAGATAGGGCTAAAATCTATTTCCTAGTCATTTCTTTTTCTTATAATCTAATATTTGTGATGTCAGTTTTTAGCTAGGTGATCATGATACATCTTTCATTGACATCATTTGTACTATAAATGGCAGAGTAATTCATTTATCAGAAGTTATTGTTAATGCGGTGTCATATTCTGGAATTGACATTGCTCATTAGTATTAAGTGAAATGTGGGTTAAACTTGTTTGCTTCAAAATGAGTAATTGTATTAACAAGAAAAAACTGAGTCTTAATATAGTGTCAGAGAAAATCACTAACATAGACATAGATACAGAGTTCATGGGCCCAGTAAGTGGACTTAAGGCCAAGGCACTGATTTATGTTGAAAGGACAAAAGTGTGGCCAACTTATGTTCAAAAATTAGACAAAGCTAAAAGCAACAAGATGTCCAAATAGCAGAAGATAGGTTTCTTTTGGAGTGAGATTTTATTTTTATTATTTTTTAATTTTTTGAGACAGTCTTTCTCTGTCACCAGGCTGGAGTGCAGTGGCACGATCTCGGCTCACTGCAACCTCCGCCTCCCAGGTTCAAGCAATTCTCAAGCAATTCTCTTGCCTCAGCTTCCTGAGTAGCTGGGACTACAGGCACGCACCATCACGCCCAGCTAATTTTTGTATTTTTAGTACAGACAGGGTTTCACCATGTTGGCCAGGGTGGTCTCAATCTCTTGACGTTGTGATCTGCCCGCCTCAGCCTCTCAAAGTGTTGGAATTACAGGCGTGAGCCACCACGCCCGACTGGAATTAGATTTTATATACAGAGCCTTAGTGAATCCATGTTTGTGGAAGACAGTCTTGAGACACAGTTAAGAAGCAAAGGTTGAACTCCTGGTAGCTGATCCATAGACTCTGCGCTCTGCATCAATGGGAGCCTGGATATTGTTAGAAGAAAACCTTGGCCAAATTATATTTAACACAGTTTAACTGAGCAAAAAATGATTCATGAATTGGGCAGCTTCCTGAGCCAGAGTAGGCTCAGAGAAACTTCAGCAAAGCCTCGTGGTGGAAGGATTTATGGACAGAACAAGGAACATGACATACAGAAAAAGAAAGTGAGATACAGAAACAGCTAGATTGGTTACAGCTTGACCTTTGCCTCTTTTGGACACAGTTTGAACAGCTGGTTCCCTTTGGTTGGCCAAAATTTGGTAATTAGCACAAGAGTAGATTACAGCCTGTTTCTACCTCCATTTGGGTTCACTATGTACAGAGAAACCTCTACGCCAAACTCAAAATATGTAAGGAGGCAACTTCAGGCTAGGCTTGATTGAACAGTATTTAGGGTAGAAATATAAGCTCACATAGTATGGGGTTGAATCAGGACAAATTGGAGTTAGCACATAGACAGAATTGAAATTGAACCATCAATTAGTGAACTCACCAGAGTCCTCAACTAAGAATGGTCACTGAGTTTATAGAGTATGGCCAAACATTTTGGTTGGGGTTACGTAGACTTGCTTGTCAGGCTTAGAGGGAAGTGAAAGGAAATAAATTATCTATCTATTCGCATGCATTATTGACATCAACTACTTTGCTTCTAGTTGGTCATAGATCTCATACCCCAATTCTCAATTTAAATATAATTCTACATATTGAGTTTATTTGCAACTACAGCACGAACAGAAATAAGTGTCCTTTTCAAAGCAACCATAGCTGTTTTGAAACTCATGAAGGGTTTTACCAATTTGACAAATTACAAACAAAAATCAAAGGATACTTTTCTCATTTGTCAAGTAACTTGTTCATCTCCTACCTCTCACTGACAATCAGCCGTGCATGAAAAAATATATTGTTCTCATCATGTATTTACTACCCAATCCCCAAATTCCACAATACTTAGCATACTTTACAACTGGTCCACCTCTAGCCTTTCACATGTGAGTAGAATAAGCAAGTATTTTTTTTTGTTTTTAAGATATTACAAAATTGTTCTAAATTGAGGCTTAAACTAGGAACTGTGTGCAATGTTAAGTGGAAATTACTAATTTTGTAATTGTTTTAAAGTTTTTGAAGATGAATAATAATTTAACATTTTAAGGTGTTCACTGTAATGTGTCAATTTATCTGCAGCATAAATTGTCTTATCTTAAGCCTACTTTTAAGTCATATTTTATTTGGAGATACATAGTATTTAGTCATTAATATGATAGCAGCTTGCTAATTTATATCTGATTTTCACCTTGCAGTTTTCTAATCATTTTCATATTTACTCACCATATATTTGTGGATTATATATTATATGAAAAATCGAGAAAAATTTTAAATGTTAATATTGTTCTTGAGCAATTTAAAATACTAAAAATAGGTGAAACTTTATTAAGTCACTAAGCTGGCCTGAAGTTTTACTGTCAATGAAAGTTTTTTGTATTACCATATTTCAAGGTTGAAAGCCATCAGGGTAGAGATATAAATACAGGTAAAGTTCTACGGAAGTTTGAAAATTAATCTTACCTGGGGAAAAGACAATGTTTACGGCAGAAGATGACTTTAGAGTTAAGCCTTAAATAAGAGATGGGGTTTTGCTATGTAAATGAGTTAGAAAAAAATATCCTGGGCATAGATTTCAGAGCAAGGCAAAGTGATACAAATTTGTAGTATGTATATGAGGAACAGTAATTATCTCAAGACCATTGTAGGAATTAATATAAACTGGGCTAATAATGCCATAAAAGGCCTTGTTTTAAAATTGGACTTTATTCCATGGGCAATTAGGGAGGTGATGAAAAATTGTAAGTATATAAATAACACTCAAACATATGCTTTAGGGAGAGTAACTAATAAAGGAAAATTTTGAAATAGGCAGATTAGAAAGATTCTCAACAATGTAGTGAAAAGTGTTAGGACCTGGACTAGGGCATTAGTTATGAGATTGGAAGAGAGAGAGATTATGTTAGCACTAATAAAGAAGTATATTCAGTGGAATTTCACAACTGATGATAAGCTTTGGGAGGGAAGAAAAGAAAAATAATTTAATGACAATAGCGTTCTTCAGACTGGCTGCCAGAAGAATATTGTTAATATTCTTAATAACAATGAAAAAGAAAAGCTAAAGACTTTGGAGAGAAAAGGCAAGATTAATTTTACATAAATTTAAGTCAAAGTGCTAGTAGCACATGAAGGTAGCATCACATAGGTGGTTCTAGAAATAAAACTAGAGCTCCAGACAATGATAGGCTGGAGATGTATACATTGGTGCCCTTTGCATGGAGGTAATTGAGCTTGTCTGGTCATGATGAGATAAGGTAACATTTACATTTGCATTTGTTTGGGGAAAGAACAAGGAAAATCAAAGATAAAAGCAGACTAAAATAACTTCAGTAACTGCAGAAAAAAAAACTTCCAATAGGAAGGTGATGGTCATGGGATTTGTCAGGTACATAATATATTAATAATTTTCAATACAGAATTTTCAGGGGAGTGACATCCAAAAACCCTAAAGGGTGACAAATTGAATGAGGAAAGAGGGAGTGAAGTATATGAGAAATGATGATGAAGATAGTTGGCTGGGAATAAAAAATAGTATAGTAGCTGGTGTTTTTATTTAACCCATATCCATCTCTCTCTCTCTCTTTTTTTTTATTATACTTTAAGTTCTGGGGTACATGTGCAAAACGTGTTTTGTTACATGGGTATACACATGCCATGGTGGTTTGCTGAACCCATCAACCCATCATCTACATTAGGTATTTCTCCTAATGCTATCCCTCCCTTTGCCCCCCACCCACCGACAGGCCCCAGTGTGTGATGTTCCCCTCCCTGTTCTCATTGTTCCACTCCCACTTATGTGTGAGAACATGCAATGTTGGTTTTCTGTTCTTGTGTTAGTTTGCTGAGAATGATGGTTTCCACTTTCATCCATGTCCCTGCAAAGGACATGAACTCATCGTTTTTTTATGGCTGCATAGTATTCTATGGTGTTCAACCATTGTGGAAGACAGTGTGGCAATTCCTCAAGGATCTAGAACCAGAAATACTGTTTGACACGGCAATCCTATTACTGGGTATATATACCTAAAGGATTATAAATCATTCTACTATAAAGACACATGCACACGTATGTTTATTGCGGCACTATTCACAATAGCAAAGACTTGGAACCAACCCAAATGCCCATCAATGATAGACTGGATAAAGAAAATGTGGCACATATCCATCTATCTTTTAATCTCAGAGGTAGTGTTTCTCCTTCTCTTCAGGACCAGTTTCTCCAGTTTTTCCTTCAAATCAGTCATCCATACCATTTTGTGGCGTCCTCCTCTTTCTTGTTACTGGCATTGTTCCTCATCTTGGAAATGTTTTTTCTCTGATTAAAATTACTTCTTTTCCTTGATTTACACCTCTCTCTCTCTCCCTGTCTCTCTCTCTCTCTCTCTCTCCGTCTCTCTCTCTCTCTTTCTCTCTGTCTCTCTACCACTTTATCTCCTTCCCATGTCAGCCAGCTTTCTGAATGCTGGAATCCTAGCACTGCCTCTGGCCTTCCACAAAGACTAAGCTCCTGTCCCTACCATGCCACTGAAGCTCCAGCCAATGCTGATGACATCATCATTGCTAAGCCAACAGAATGCTTCCATCCTTATGTTACTAGATTTCTCAGTTGCATTTATCACTTTGTCTCTTCTCCAAACTTCTCTGTTGTTGGGCTACCATGACAATATAGTCCCCTGGTTCTCTCCATATGACTGGCCTTTATTTCTGGCTTCTTTGTGTTTTTTCTTTCATCTGTTGCCTCGTGATTGTTGGTGTTCCTCATAATTCATTATTAATCCTCTGAACTTCTCATTCTGTACCATTTCCTTTTGAGATATATCTGCTCTCAAAGTTGAAACTCTGCCCTATATCATGAAGTTTTTTCAATCCTGTGTCCCCATCTCAGAATTTTTTAATGAATTTCAGGCTTGTATGTTCAACTGCCCAATAAATATCTTCAAATTCAGCTTCACAATAGCTAATGCATGCTGGGCTTAATACCTAGGTGATAGGTTGATAAGGTACAGCAAACCACCATGGCACACGTTTACCTATGTAACAAACCTGCGCTTCCTGCACTTGTACCCCGGAACTTAAAATAATAAAAAATAAATTAAAAAAAAATTCCCCTTCACGGCCAGGCGCAGTGGCTCATGCCTGTAATCCCAGCACTTTGGGAGGCCGAGATGGGTGGATCATGAGGTCAGGAGATCGAGACCATCCTGGCTAACACGGTGAAATCCCGTCTCTACTAAAAATACGAAAAATTAGCCAGGCGTGGTGGCAGGTGCCTGTAATCCCAGCTACTCGGGAGGCTGAGGCAGGAGAATGGCGTGAACCCAGGAGGCGGAGCTTGCGGTGAGCCGAGATCCGGCCACTGCACTCCAGCCTGGGCGACAGAGCGAGGCTCTGTCTCAAACAAACAAACAAACAAACAAACAAATCCCCTTCACATTCAATCTTTCTTAACCTAAAGTCCTCATTTTCTCTTTCCAACTTACTGTTTCTGTTTCTTGAGCATATTTTCTCTTATTTGTAGCCATTACTGCCATACTAATTCAAGCCTTCATTGTCTTCTACCAGAACCACTGAAATAACCTCATGCTGCCCTCATGTTTTTATTTTTATTCCACTAATATTCATCTAGTAGAACATCCCAATGGCCACAATAATTTAGTAAGACCACAAAACTGAATAAGCCACTTAAAATTTAATATTCTGTTCCCCTGTTTTCCATAAGATAAAAATCCAAGCTTGTTAAAATGGCATATAGAGTGCCCCAAGAACTGGCTCCTATATCCTTTTCCAACTTCATCTTTAGACATGCCTTGTTTTCTATGCTACAACAATCCTATAATGCTATGTTCATAATTCCGACTATGTTAGAAGACTGTAGGAAGATTGGAGCAGGAAGTGATAGCCTTGTGAACAGATTAAGTAGTTAGCATCACCTGAGAATTGACGAGAAACCTCTGTTTCCACTTTCCACCATAATATGTATCTGGAGACTAAACTGATGCAATATTTTTTCTTTCATAATTAGTGATTTATTCCAATGTTTCAGTCAATGACCTCTCGGGGCAGTACCTGTAAAATCTGAATAGATCATGGACAGTTCTTATATTTCTGGCAGTATCTTATATTTTTGGAAATAATAGCATTCTATCTTTGGAAATAATAGTTTATCATGCTATGGCTGTAGGTCTACCTCTCCGAAGTAATATGTGTCATATGAGGGACACTTCAAACGGCACAATATTTTCTTACCACTCCTCACTTCCTCACCACTATTCTAGCATACTTCTCCTCCAGGTAAGTCTCACTTCTCCATTTAAACGTACCTACTAGGCTGG
The DNA here is from genome assembly GCF_000001405.40 of Homo sapiens. NCBI lineage: Eukaryota > Metazoa > Chordata > Mammalia > Primates > Hominidae > Homo > Homo sapiens. The sequence goes on along the minus strand of NC_000006.12, from coordinate 123,358,776 downwards.
GCGCGGTGGCTCACGCCTGTAATCCCAGTGCTTTGGGAGGCCGAGGCAGGTGAATCACCTGAGGTCAGGAGTTCGAGACCAGCCTGACCAACATGGTGAAACCCTGTCTCTACTAAAACAAACAAAACAAAACAATACAAAAAAATTAGCCAGGCATGGTGGCGGGTGCCTGTAATCCCAGCTACTCGGGAGGCTAAGGCAGGAGAATCGCTTGAACCCAGAAGGCAGAGGTTGCAGTGAGCCAAGATTGCACCATTACACTCCAGCCTGGGCGACAAATGCAAAACTCCATAAAAAAAAAAAAGTACCTGCTAATACTGCTAATAAAGGGCATACATCAGAGCCCCCATGGGTGATACGGAGAAAAAAGGGAGGGATGTCAATTGTATTGGAGAATTGGGTGCTGAAGGAAAATTGTAGGGAAGAATAGTGAAATAAAAGCCTAAAACATAAAATCAACGTCCCAGCTCCCAGTTTAGCTAAAGAATAGCCCTAATCTGGGCATTACATACCAAGTGTGTTAGCTGCTTTGTCTCCTTTACATTAGTTTTGATTTCTGAAGTAGTGAAATAAGAATCTATTTTTTTTTCTAAAATACGCTTCTACAAAAGTAGAAAAAAGAGAATTTCTTCACTCAGCACTAAAGGATATTCCAGATATCTTGTGGTATAGAAAGAGAAACTGATGACGGTCTTCTTTTGACTCCAAGAAGTTAAAAAATTCACTTACTTAGATGAGCTGTTTATTTCTAATGTTTGCTCTTCATAGAATTAGAATTGATGAATTTTACATTAGAACCAGAAAAGAAAGGATCAACATTTTATGTGAAATGTTATCTTTTCTGTATAGATAATCAGCATTTCCAGTGACCTTTTCTGAGCAACAAAAAACATAGCACTTTAAGGGACTAGCCTTCTCTATTTAATATGTGTGCCAGAAATTATGAACCCATCGTTGAAAAGAAAACTTGGTCTTTATATGTAAGTCACACTTCAGTTGTTTTCTGAGACATTTACCCTTCAGGGGATTCAATTAAAATAACTAAAAAATATGTATTTCCTAAACATACTTATAATGATTATTCTGAATAAAAGAATTATGAATAAGAATACCTACCTGTGTGGCTCTATTATAGTTACAAATTGTCAGTGTTTCATTTCCATGTTGATTTGAGACAGAACATTCATAGAATAGACTCAGGCACTACACATCTTACTAGCCTCTTATAGCGTACATTGTAAAGTGTAGCTCTAATTTGGCTTTCAAAGGTTTCTGCATTTGGTCCTATTCTCTATTTTTAGACTATCCCTTATCTCCTCTCTGGAAATCCTCTGCTCAAACTACACTTCCTCTAGGAACATCTAAGTCTTTCCCACTCCTTTGTCTTTCCTCATATATCATTGGCTATACCTAAAATCTCCTTTTCCTGGAAAACCACTAACATTGAAACTGATCTCTTTTCTCTTTCAACTGAAAATATTTATTATCAAGACATATCTTTTGTCAAGTGATACATTTAATTACAAAACAAGTCTATATTAATTAATTACTATGTTAGGAACAATTCTAGATGCTATGGTAAATGTAAGTAATACATTTCTAAGTATTCTATAAGTCAAAGAAAAAAGTGGGATTTTGGAGATCTAATGAACAAATGTATGATAAAATTTATATGCTTTTAGAAACATTCATCAGAAAAGAAAAAAGGCGGAATAAAAGATAGCTAAGAAGTCAATATTTTTTAATTCATAAAATTAAACCCAAGGAAAGTAGAAGGAAGAGAAATAAATGAAAGAGCCAAAGCTATTTATTTAGAAATCAAGTAGTACAACAGGAAAAGTCAAAATATTATTATCAATAAAATACAATAAAAATTATGAATGCTTATGAAAATATATTAAGAAAAAACAGAGAAGGTACAAAATATCAATATCAGAAATAAAAAGGGATCATCACTACAGATTCTATAGATAATAAGCAAATAAAAAGATTTTCCAATAAACTAAAACATTTTAATAAAATTAAAATTTTAAATTTATAATTGTAATTCTATTCCCCTCCCTCAATTTTAGCCAGATGGTTTCACTGGTGAATTATTTCAAACATTTAAGAAAAAATTAGCACCAATCTTACATCAAATTTTCCAGAGAATAGAAAAAGAGGTAATATTCTCTCATTATATGGGGTTAGAATTACTGTAATACCAAAACTTAAGTAGAGCAACAACTATATATATATATATATATATATATATATATATATATATATATATAAACTTCTTGTAAACCTAGAGGCATAGGTCTAAACAAAATATTAGCAGATTAAGTCTGCTAGTACGTATGAAAGATAAAATGCAGTCAGGTTGGTTTAATTTCAGAAATGCAAGCTCAAAAAATTAAAATACATACAAATTGATGTAATTAGCCAGAATAAAAGGAAACTATATTCATCATAGTAGATACATTTGATATAATTCATCACAAGAATAGAAACTTACTTAATCTGATAAAACATCTGCAAAAACCATTAGCAAACATCATACTTAATGGAGGAAATTAAAGGTTTTCCCCCTGCTAATCAAAACAAAATAAGGATGTTTGCGATCACCAGTTCTATCACACACCATAGTGGGTTTTCCATCCAGTGCAGTAAAATGAGAAAAAGAAATCATAAATATGCAAATAGAGAAGTAAGAAATAAAACACGTTATTCACAAATGATATGATTATCTACTTAAAAAATTCAAAACAATCTATAGAGGAAAATTGCTACAACTGAGTGACTAGCAAGTTTTCTGCATAAAATGTCAAATGAAACATAACTGCTTTAGAAATCAAGAGCAAAACTTTGGAAAATAAAGTGAAAGATGACTACAATGCTGTTCTAATATAATAGCATCAAATCCATAAAATATCTTGAAATAAATGTAACAAATTATGCATAATGTTCTTGAAGATCTCTTACATTTTAACATATTTGAGAAATTAAGGAACACAAAACTCAATGGAGGGATATTTTATGTTCACCAATCAGATGACTTGATTTTGTAAAGATATCAATTCTCAAAATGATCTATTAATTCATCATAATCCCAGTCAAAATCCTAGCAGATTTCTTGTTGTTGCTATTGTTTTATTTAAATTGATAAGCTGACTCGATTTTCATATGAAAAAGCAAATGTCTAAGAATAGCCAAGACAATCCTGAACAAGATCAAACTGGAAGGTTTGTAGTAGTAGATATCAAGAATTATCTTAAACCTACAGGAGTAATCAAGACTGAGTGGTATCCATTAGGAAAAAAGTGAAATTTTATCTCACACCTTACACAAATAATAATTCAGTGGATTGTACTGCTAAATTTAAATGATTAAAAATTATAATGCTACCAGGAAAAAATGTGGAAAATTTAGAATATCTTATAACCGTGGTGGAGGCAAATCTTTTTAAATAGAATACAAAAAGCATTAGTTACAAAGGAAAGATTGATACATTGAATTTAATTATCATTGAAACTCCTGTTAACGTAAACCAGAGAGAAAAAAATGTAAGTGGAAGAAGACATTTACAGTATATGTATATATGTGTGTATGTGTATATATATATTTAAAAAGACTCATTTAGAATATTACAGATGCATACAAATCAATGTAAAAAACATTAAAAAATTAGGCAAAAATCTAAAGAGGCACTCCACAGAAGAGGTTATCTAAATGCTGATAAGTATATGAAAAGCATGTGGCATTATTAGGTATCAGGAAAGACTGAAATTAAAGCCAAAATGTGATACTACTGCATAGAAAGACTGATATTTTTCTAAGAGACAGTAGTAGGATTTGTGCAATTTAAAAGAAAATAGTTATTTTATTTATTTTATTTTATTGTTACAATGTAAGGGAAATATATTAATTAAATTAGGCCATCCTTTCCCTACTTAGATTTCTTGTGCTTCCAGAGTCCTATTGCTGGTGCCTGAAATTCTGGAGAAGTTCTAGCTATTATCTCTTCAAATATCACTTCTTCCTCACACTGTCTAATCTTTTATTTTATAAGTTCAATTAGATGTATGTTAAGATGAATTCTATCTTCTATGTCTGTTAACCTCTTGTATATTTTCCATCTTTTTGTTTCTCTGGGATGAATTCCAGGCTATTTCTTCAGATATGTATTTCTACATTGCCCTTTACTCCTTACTTACATCTAACTAATCTATGAACAATTTTAATGTTATTTTTATAGAAATTTTCTTTATTTTTCAGATTTAATTTGCCTTTTAAAGAAAATGTATTACAGCCCTAAAATAAGATTGGATGAATAAACAGGAGTTTGCCTGTGAAAGTGAGATGATTGTGTTTTAGGCAAAGGTTAATAAAATAATAACAGCTTCTATTTAATGAGTTATGTGGCTGCCACTGGGCTGATTTCCTTAAATTGTTTTCACTTAGACCTTAAAACAGCCCTTGTAGCATTATCTGCATTTTTAACAAAAAGAATAAGGCTCAAGGTAAAATAATGTGCACTCATTTTTGCAGAAATTCAGTGGCAAAACTGGACTGTGCACTCTAAAACATTCATTGCTTCTTCTTCTAGGACACATAATCCCTTAGAATAACCAGAATTGTGGTTGCCCTTCAAGGGAATTTGATAATTTCAGGCTAAACTGCACAGTTCTTTTCTGGTAATAAATCAGTTCTGGAAAGTCACCTCAGGAATATCTTGGGACTTGTGCCTTTATTTCAGCATTGAAGGCCAACTTGCCTACCCCTTCCCACTGTCCTAACCCTAATATTGACTATAATCTAACAAAAACAGCAAAATAAAGAGCATAGCATTCATTGGTATTTACCCTATAATATCTTGTGTTATGTAAGATTTATCTACAGGTGTGATCTGTGAGGTTCATACATATTTATTTGCTTTTAGTTTAACATCTCCCTTGCTTCACAGTCACATGGTTTGCTCTATTTTGGGGTCATAATTGGGTAAAATAATAGGTTACTTTCCTGGAAATATAGGGAATTTTTTTCTAACCAGTGCATATTCAAATTTTTGGATATCTGTTTTTTTCAACAGATATAATTAAAGGTGAAATTCACCTCCTTTTTTTCCCTCCCTCCCTCCTTCCTTCTTCCCTTCTTAATTACACTGTCTTTTTACAAAGATCAGGACCAGTTACCTTATAGACATTTTTGATTGGTCTAATTATTTCTTCACAATATGGTTTAAAATGTTCTATACATCCTGTATTTGATGAAACTGAAAGCTAAATCTGGCTTAGCTAAATTTCAGTTGGATACCTTGGAAATAATACTTTAGAGATGATACTGTATATGCTACACGGCATCTCATCAGGAAGCAAAAGATGTCTGGATGTCCTGATATGAATGAATGTTTCTAAGTTTCATCAGTGGGTTAAGTTGGCTACAGACACATTTCTTCATTTTAAAGTTGTATTTTTTCTTCTTTCAGTTTTATGTGGGGTGATATTTGGGTGCAATAGCAATAATCAGTTCCTCATCAATCTTTCATTTAATGGTTGCTAATGAACTCTGAAGATTTTCTTGAATCAATTCTTTCAATGGAGTGCACTGATTCCAAATGAATCATTTGTACTGTTCTACTTTTGGACTGTCAACTACTGTAAATAGGTAAACAGTGAATACTTCACTGAGAGCAAAACATCTTAGAGAAAGGGGTACAGCACCCAAATAATCCCCTTTTGGTTACTGATGATTTGGGATGGTTTCATTTAATATTTAAATGAATCTCAGGCATGACTACACTATTGTTTCAGCTGATTAAGCTATGTTAAGCACGAATATAAAGGAGCATCTAGTTGACATTTACAAGACACTAAATGACTCCAGCAATAACCTGGAATGCAAGTAGATTAATCATAGTCCTGTCAAGTGGAATTCTATGTAGAGCTTGTTTATCAAAGCGGAGTGTAAAGGAATAAAACAGATACAATTGTAGAAATGTAGGCAGAAGATTATCACTTTTTTCTTTAATTCTTTAGATATAAAATCTGGTTTCAATTGCGTTATAGAGAAATGAGAAATGTTTAAGAAGCTTCAAAATAACTTGTGTAAAAGAAAGATTTAGCATTGAAAGAACTCCAAAATGCTTTTTTTGAGCAGAAGCAGTATTTCTGTCTGGAACTCTTCTTTAAACCTTATCTTTGTTTTGCAGCTGTACCTGGAAAGAAGGAAGAGAAAACAACCAAGACAGTGGAGCAAGGTAAAAAAAAATGAAGGAGGTTGACATTATCTTCTTTAGAAAGACAACAACATGCGGAGGAAAGCACTGGATTCAGACAGGCGGAAGACAATAACCTTTAAGTCTATTACTCTTTATCACTGTCCTTGCATGTTTTTCTGTGCCAGGGAGAATGTGAGACAGCAATCTGGGTTGGTCTTTCTTTTGTGTAACTGAACTTTGAATATCAGTTCCGAACAGGGAAACTCCCCAAACTGTTTAATTACATCAGGGGACATGCTGAAGATTGCTGGGAATAAGACAATGATCCAGGGTAACTGGTAGACATATTCCTATTTGATTTGTGGTTTTAACACCACCTTACTGATTATAATTTGAAAAATAAAGATGGCCCAATCCTATACATGCAAAAACTATTTCTGTTGCTTGAAAAAAAATATGTAAAAGTTAAAATGAAGAAAATAACAGCAAAAATAGAGTATATTATGATATATACTATATTATGACTTCAACCATTCTCCCAAGAGGTCTGAAATTTCAGTGTTATAAATCATAATGGTATAAAATAGTTAATGCATTTTATTTGTATTTATGTAGTTATATCATAAATAGATCACTCCAGACTCTGCTTGAGAAAAATGCTACAGTACACTAAACTTAAAACATTTAAAGTGATGTGGCTTCTCTTAGAGCTCAAGTGTGCTAATAATTTTAATTGTCGTTCCCTCATGTCATTGCTCTTATATAATAATACTATATTTATTGTAATAAATTAAATTAGAACTTGCAATAATTTTATCAAGAACAAAGTCTAAATGATTTCTCCTTCAAATTTGAGATGCAATTAAATGTATGAAATCCTAATATCAGAAGTTAAGATCTTTTGACATAAATATATCAAGAAAATCCTTCAATCCCTCACATGTCAAATAAGTAAACTAAGGTTAAGAATTCAGTTAAGTAAAAAGATTGGTTAAGAATTTATTTCCTTGGGCTTTTCAAAATAAAATCCCTTTATAATTGCATGGAAAATGTTTTCCAATTTATTCTGGCTTCTGGGGACTCTGAAATTTTACAGTTCAGTAGATGTTTCTGTTGGTTTCTTTTTGAAGAAGAGTGGAATTTTAGTTTCTGAAATATAAAGTGGGAGCACTGGATCCTAATTTCAGTGTGTTCATTTATGCGTGTTCCTGAGTCTAAATTTATTTTTTTAAAAAATAAAGGTAATTATCCCTGATCTGCCCATCTGAGAAGATGTTGTATAGGGCAAACATGAAAACATATGTGAAAGGATATGAAAATGTGTAAACTTCTAGATAAGCATGTAACAGATACTTAGGCATTTTTTCTTATAAAATCAATTTCAACACAGATGACATAAATTATCAAATTACTTTGATTTCATTGAGTTTTATAGCTTTCCCCCTCTAGTATAAAAGTGCTGATTACTCATGATATTCATAGGTTGTTTTCATAGCCACAGTATATCAAAAGAAGATTGACTAGATATAAAACACCCACACTAATAATAGTACCAAACAGACAATTGATTTGAAAACATTGTTTCTTTCTTCTGATCATCACATTGGTGTCAGTTTCATTAATTTTATAATGTCTCCTCTAGTGGACAAGAGACTGGAAATGGTTCTTAGAGATAGGATCTTACTCCTTCAGATGATTTTATAATTTTGTTTACTAAAATCTTCTTTTATCTTATTAAAGCTTAGGCTCTTGGATTGTGTGAAAAAAATGAGGTTCTTTCAATGGCTATTTTTATATTGACTTGGTAAATCATTTCAATTTTAAATATTGTATGACAATGGCCTCATATTTTTCAATCATAACAATCATAGGAAATAATATATTTGGATATTTTGCATATTTTTATGATAGTATATCTATTACTAATAACTGATACAAAAAATAGATATTTTGTGCTTTTAATAAAGTAATATGAGAAGTAATAATGACATTCTATAAATTGTCCCATATTCTAATAGTTATGCATAATGCTTTAAGACTTGTATACTTTGCTTTCTTACATAGTTTTTAGTTATCTTCAGAAGTATAAATAATCTATTAGTTTATAATTCATTGAAATATAGTTAAATTCTCTTTAAATATTTATTTTATTTATTTGTTTAAACATGTGGACTTTATTTAGAAAAATTATATGATTTTTGTTACTCTTAATAGAGTTTAAGTACACTTTGTGATCTGAGTATAATTGTGCATATTGAATCTCTGGACTTAAATACTATGGATATTCCAGTATCTCAAAATTAAGTTGAAAGTTTTATTACAGAATAATGTAGTATTCAGTTCTCTTAAGAATTAAAAATCACTTCGACAGTCAGTTAAGAAGAAACACGACAAAAATATTTTTAGGTAATTAAATAAGATTTGTCTACTAACCATCAAGAATAAATTTTAACACAGTTAGTAAACATTTTATTAAGTATAAAGTTGGAGCCTGTTGATCATAAATGTATCAGAGTTCACTATAATAAAATATTCAACTTTGCCTTAAATTAAGGAATGTTTCAAAATTCATAAATGGGCTAATTTGTGTCCACTTGAAGAGTTTCTTTCTTTGCTTTTGATGCTATTCTGTAAACAATGGTTCCCTACATAATTGTAATAGTGTTTTACGTTGTCACAACACCAGGCAAAACCCAAGTGCTATTGCAAGCTTTGTAAATCTATCACTGTCCTCATCCACCTTATCAGATTCTTCTCTTCTTTGTGTATGCACTGGTCTTTTTAAAATCTGTGATGTGTACTGATTGTAGATTTATTCCATACTTTCAAGTGAATGCTAATAATATCTAAGAGTAATGATTTCCCTGAGAAAACTTTATCCATTTGAATATAATGAATGTTCATATTTCTTGGTGTACCAAAGTTATAAAAAAAGACAGAAACAATTTTACATTTAAAATCAATGAAGTAAAACAGAAGATTTAGTTAACACAATTGTATTTAATTATTTGCTTAATATGTATTTTTAAAATAACTTATTTGCATATGTTGACTAAGTCATGCTGTTGACCCTCAATAAATGTTAAATTATGATAATATTATAGATTCCTGTGAATTCTAAACTTTTTGACAATACTTCGTGCTTTGGTTGTTTAATATTTATTGAGCGCCCACAACTGGCCAGGCGCTGGGGAATGGGTGTGAGGGGCATAGCATGGGCTTCGGAGAGAAGATGGTCTATATTGAAGGCAATGCATGAAAACGAGGATACTCTCCTTGTTTATGTAGTTTATATATTTTCAAGAGAACCATTAGCAACTCAATTCTCCACTCCACTGCCTCACTTACTCACATAATACATTTTACTTCTTCTTACTCTTATTTTACTTAATATTATGAAAACAATTTATTCTTATATTTTATCTCATTAATGGGAAATTACTTTCTAGTCCCTTCTTTTCTAACTCTTTCTTTCCACTAACACTATTCCTTTAATAAGAGAAAGATCTAAATCCTACTTATCACAGCAGAATAATACGTACTCAATGGAAGTTCATATTGTTAACATTAATTTCTCATAGAGGTCTGCTTTCTGCCATGCAATATTTGATTCATGTGATTCAGACATTGATGGGATTGCTATTCAACATTAAAGAGAATTTCACCCCAAAAAATGGGCAATGTGTGTCAATTATGTCTGTGAGGAAATAACCAACTTTATGTATCCCTTTGACATTCTAGACAAGATTATATAAAAGAAATCAGAAGTTCATTATAATGTTCACCATGCAACATTATGAGTTTAAGATTATTGAGCTGCTAATTTCATTTTTTATCGATTAATATTTACCTTCACTCCTGCTATTATGCTGAAGCCACAGTAGGTTGTATCTCTTTTTCCCTTAAGAATCTTTAATAGAAAGTATATTACAAGCTGCTACATTACAAAGCTGAGTGGTCAGAGCAAAGATTGTTTCCTGAGAAATTTTGTTTCCTTTTTATTTATTTTCTTCTTTTATTTACAGATTAGCTTTCCACTACAGGCCTAATTATGAAAAGACAAATGAATTGGTTTTCACTATCTTAAATACAGTTCCTTATCATCAATTACTTTTCCAGTTCCTGGACCAAATTAATGAAATTTAAGTTTCATACTCTAAAATTAAATCACAGAAATAATCTGAAACCATCAGCCCTATGTAAAAATGCATTGTTACTGTATTCTCATTGTAAATTAAGTTACACATTTCAGGTCAAGTAATTTTAGTAATGAAAATCAACACTTTATCAATATTCTACACAACATTTACCTGCATCTTAGTGACTATTATTGTCCCAATTTTTATAGACCAATGATATATTACAAGCTAGTTGTAAAGCAATGCTTTAAGAGTCAAAATTTAACTCAGATCTTGGAATGTCAAAGTAGTAGTTAAAAGTTTTTCATCATTATGACCTGTAAAGTCTGGGTTTTACTTCACTTGATTTTTATACAGAAAAAAAAGGAAAAATTATTTCCCAGACAGAGAATCTGCATTCTCATTTCAAGACTTTACATTGCATTCCATGATCAAAAATTCTTAACTTGGAGTTAGCGCTTACAACTTTGGTCTTCAAAGAAGAAATAATTGATGATAGCCAGTGGCAATTATAAAATGTTAACCTGCTTGAACAATAGAGCACAGAGCTATCTCCAAATAAAACTTTGGGCTTAGTTTAGCTCTATCAATCATTTGTTCTGTGACTGGGCTACTTATTTGCCTTGCACTGCCTTTTTTAAATAAGCAAATATTATTGTATTAAGCTATCTCTAAAGGACCTTCCATCTCTAATATTGTTCAATTCTCACTTGTAAGACATGTTTTCCATGCTCAAGACATTTCCACATTGCCCCCAATGCTGAAGAACAAGCTGTCTTCTGATTGCAAGTACAATCAATCAACAGGAAAGTCCAATTTAGATTATAAAATGAAAATACCTTAAAATATTATTTAAATCTACTAAATGGAATGACAATATTTAAAGTTTTGCTGATACTTTACATTACACTTAAATTTCAAAAATATCTCAGGAATAAGGCATGCTATTGGGTACCAAATTAAATGACATAAAATGCTTTAAGTAAGGTTGTAAGCATGAGAATTAGTAATAATGGCACACAGGATATAGAAAGTATGCCCTTGATACACACAGAAAAAAAACTATAAAAAATGGGGCAGAAGAACTTAATGTCTCTGGAGATAAGATAATGTAGATAACAACTGTGTGTGACGGGTGGTTTCTGATTATTTTTACAACATGGCAATAATGACTTTGTACTGTCAGTTTTTCAGTACGTACTATATTCTCTTAGCAAAATTTTGCAAATTCATTGGTACAATGGCAGGAACAAGTTTGGCTTTAGGATCTTTAAATCCTTATCACTGGAAGCATATACATTTAAATTCCTTAGAGGGTAACACAAGTTCCTTTTGCTACCAAGCCTCAGTGTGACTTTCCAGCCAAGGTTCACTGTTTCTACCCCACGTTCTCCATTCAAGAATCCACATGAACTTTCACACTCCATGGTATTCTTATGTTTTTTTTTTATGTTTGAAATGCCTTTCTAATTCTTCTTTCATTCCAAATTTTATCAGTTTTTGAATCCATCACAAATGCCAGTGTTTCTGTGAAGTCTTCTTTCATTTTCTCAGGTCGAGTTTGCCAGTCTTTCTGCTATGCACCCAGAGTTCTGAGCCCTTTATCATCGTATTTAATCTGTCTATGTGGTTGCATCACAACACAGTTCGAACTCCACACAATCTTCCTTATTTTTCCAGCTCTCAGTAGAAAAGAGACACTCAACAAATATCTATTAAATATAATATGGTTTATCTTTTAAAACACAAACTTGTGTCCTCCTTTTATAATATCATTTTCAAGAGAAAGGATTCTAGGGGTCCTGGACTTCTTTATCCACAGGAGAGACACTCTGTCATTCTGGTAAGCACAACACAAAGAACAGTTTCTGGTTTGTTGAAATAGCATCGGCTTTTATTTTACTCCAACCAAACCCTTTTTGAGAGTCTTGGACCTCAATTTTCTTTCTGTGTACATATCCATCACAAAGATTACAATACAGTTAGTGTGGAAATTTTTTAAAAATTTAATAAAAATCTAAAATATAAAAAATCAAATTCAACAATACATAAAAAGAATTATACGTATTCCAGATATGCAAGTCTAGTTTGACATTTGAAAAGTGTTTAAGTAATCAATAACATCAACAGGCTAAAGAAGAAAAAAACACATGACCCTATGAATAGTAATGGTAAAAGCATTTGAGAAAATCTAACACCCATTGATGGTTAAAAACTCTCAGCAAACTAGGAATAGACAGAAAATTCTTAAACTTGGTAAATAATTTTTACAAAAATCCTACAGCTAACATTCTATTTAATGGTGCGAAGTTAAAAGCTCTCTTGCTGAGGTCAGGAACACGGCAAGGATGTTCGCTTTCACGCCCCTTCATCAACATCATACTGAAAGTTTTAGCGAATGCAACAATATAAGAAAAGGAAATAAATGGTGTACAAGTTGGGAAAAAAATAAAACTGTATTTGTTCAAATATGACTTATTTATGTAGAAAATTCCAAAAACTTCCTGGAACTAATCACAGAATATAACAAGGTTTCAGGGCGCAAAGTTAATATGCAAAAGTCAGTTACTCTGTTATATCAGTAATGAAAAATTTGAATGAACAAGATTAAAAACACAACGATCACTTATATTGGCACCAAAAACATAAACACTTAGGTATATTTTTTAAATTATGTATAAGACCTGTTGGAGGGAAACCACGTAAAAGAAATAAACAGAAACTAAATAAATTGAGAGATACTCCATATTCATTGATACAATGACTTAGTATTGTCAAGCTGCCAATTCTTCCTAAATTGAGCTACAGATTTAACACAATTCCAAAAACAATTCTAGCAAGTTATCTTGTGGCTATTGACAAACTAATTCTAAAGTTTATATGAAAAGGCAAAAGACCCAGAAGAGCCAACACAGCACTGGAAAATGAGAATTAAGTGGCAAACTGACACTACTGAACTTCACAACTTACTGTAAAAATACAGTAATCAGGACAGTATGATATTAGTGAAAGAATAGACAAATAAATCAATGAAAGAGAATAGAGAACTCAGAAATGCACTCACAAAAATATAATCAGCTGATCTTTGACAAAGGAGAAAAAACAATTTGCTGGAGAAAGGATAGACTTTTGAACAAATTGGTGTTGCAACAACTGGACATCCATAAACAAAAATAAAAAAGAAAACAAAAAACCCTCAAAAATAGTCTTTACGTCCTCCACAAGAAAATTAACTCAAAGTGGATCATAGACCTAAATGTAAAACATAAAACTATAAAATTCCTGGGAAATAACATAGAAGATTTAGGTGTCCTTGGGTTTGACAATTACATTTTAAATAAAACACAAAAGACAAAGTCCATGAAAGAAAAAAAATATATAAGTTGGGCTTATAAGATATAAAGATGGGAATAAGCATATGAAAAGATGTTCAACATAACATGTCATTAGATTAAAACAATGAGATACCACTACACACCTATTAAAATAGCTAAAATCCAAAACACTAACAATACAAAATGCTGGGGAGGGTGTAGAGCAACAGAAACTCTCATTCTTTGCTTGTGGAAATGCAAAAAGACAATTTGGCAGCTTCTTAGAAAACTAACCTTACTCTCACGATGCAATCCAGCAATTACGCTCCTTGGTATTTATCCAAATAAGCTGAAAACTTATGTATATGCAAAAACCTGCACACAAATGTTTATATCAGCTTTATTCGTATTTCCTAAAACTAGGAAGCAACCAAGATGTCCTTCAATAGGTGAACAGATAAATAAATTCTGGTACATTAATATAATGAGATTTTTATTCAGTGTGGAAAATACATGAGCTGTCAAGCCATAAAAATACATAGAAGAACCTTAAATTATATTTCTAAGTGAAATATGCCAATGTGAAGAGTCAACATGTTGTATAATTACAACTGTATGACATTCTGGAAAAGGCAAAAGTATGGAGAAAGTTAAAAACTCAGTGGTTACTAGGGTTTGGGGAGGAGAGAAGGGTGAATAGGTGGAGCATAGAGAATTTTTAGGGTAATGAAATTATTCTGAATGAAACTACAATGGCAGATACGTGTCATTATACTTTTGTCAAAATCTATAAGATGTATAAAACTAAGATTGAACCCTAATGTAAACTATGGACTTTGGTTGATAAAGATGTATCAATATTGCTTCTTGGATGGTAATAAATGTACCACACTCTTGAGGGATACTGATAGTGATGGAGCCTGAGTGTGCTTGAAGAGGGTGTATTAGTTTGGGCTGCTATAACAAACTGCCATTGACTGGGTGGCTTATAAACAACAAAACTTTATTTCTCACAGATCTGGAGGCTGGAAGCCTAAAATCAGGCTGCTAGAATGGTGATGTGCTGTGACAGCCCTCTTCTGGATTGCAAACTGCTGTCTTTTTGTATCCTGACATGCAGAAAGAGGGCAAGAGAGCTCTCTGGGGTTCCTTTTATTTTTCTAAGACCACTAATTTGATTAATGAGGGTTCCATGCTGATGACCTAATTATCTGCCAGAGGTGCCATACCATAACATTGGGAGTAGGATTTCAACATATGAATTTTGAAGGGACACGTTCAGTCTGTTACAGAAAGAATGTACAGGAACTCCGCACTTTCTGATTAGTTTTGCTGTAATCATAAATCTACTCTAAAAATTAAGGTCTATTAATTTTTTTTATTATTATACTTTAAGTTTCAGGGTACATGTGCACAATGTGCAGGTTAGTTACATATGTATACATGTGCCTTGGTGGTGTGCTGCACCACTAACTCGAGTGCACGGAAATCTCGAAGAATTAGTCCAGTTCACTAAGTTAATTTTGAAGTATATTTTGAAATTTTATACCATGAGTAGCAGAAAGATATATTAAAAGCCTCCTTTATTTTGATTATATTAATAATTATTCAGTTAACATTTTTTCTTATATTCAATTATATTTCTTCAATTTTTCAATATATATCATCTTATAAATTAAGTTTCAATTTGAACAGTTACACTATAATGAGAATGATTCTTGAGATCCCACATAAATGTGTTTTAGGACAGGATTTCCATTTTAAAAAGTTCAAAAGACAATATAGAATATAATGAATAACATTGTTATAGAAATAAAGAATGTATTATATCTTAAATGAATGGATAATCAGAAGTTATTATAAAAAATAAATGGGCATAAAAGTGTAATATATGTGTGTGAGATTACTGAACTTTGGAAAGTCACTCAAAATTTCTTAGATAACAAAAAAAATAAAATGTGAGGTAAACATTGGATTTAAATATACGTAATTTTCTTTTTTGTCCAGGAAGACTATCAGATATTGGCCATTTCATTTTACTTGACACTTTTGCCACACAAAGATTACAAATTGGAAAATGGCTAATCATGAAAGATGTTTATAATGATGATCAGGTTACTGTGTAAAGATTTGACAATAAGTTTCCTGATAAAATGTGATCAGCACAAAATTTGACAAATTTATTAACTCATTCAACAGATAGTTGTGGAATTTCGAGTATGTGTTAGGCTACCTAGTCCCTGCTTCAGACATATGATTTGCAAGGCTGTGGCAGGCTGGCAGTTATGAAGAACATTGATGTTATTTGGTGATTCAGATAGGCACCCTGTTCACTTTTAGGAACAATTTGTGGTGATATCTACTTTATAATCCAGGATGCTCCCAGAGGTATAGTGTAGAAATTTAACCCTAACTTTGTCATCTCATAACCTGGGTTCAAATTTTCCATTCCAATTTACTAGCTGTAACCTTGGGCAAGTTACTTATCTCTTAGCTTCAGATATCACATCTATAAAATTATGGATAATACCTACCTCTTTGGAGACAGGTGAGAAGTTAAAGCGATCTTATGTTAAAAAATGCCTAACTACACAAAATAATGCTTTATCATTATACGTGGATACAGGAATTTCCTTGAGCCCTGCCCTCAAGGAAATTACAGTATTGTAATAAAGTTATTATCTTAATTTAAACATGGAAGCTTTGACATCTTAAATTGATGGGACTACACTAGAAAAATTTCATGACTAATAAAATTTTCTTTGAAAGAGTATTCTTTAGTGGTTCAGTAGCCAACCCTGTCCCTAAGATATCCTAGTTCATCTCATCTCCCCAACATTAAAATAGAAGTTAATAGAATGCATATCTAATTTCTTATCAAATAAAGGAGGGCTAATTTTATGTTTTTATATCTTTAAATATTCCTGATCTTTCTGAAAGAGCTAGACAGAGATGAACTAAAGTGCACCCTACTAATTTTGATTAGTAGTCAGATTATTAAGGCGCATAAGGATAAGAATATCAAAGTGTGTATATATGAATACTCCAATGCTTGCAGCCGAGGCACACAGCCTCAAAACCTAGTAATTATGAAATTGAACCAGAATTTAGTCAAAGGAAAAGGTTATTTAGATTGTTTCAAGAGAAGCCCCTCAGCTAAGGTAATTTGAAGAACTATACTACTATAAGGAAGAGCTTATCAAAAAGACTAGAATACTGACACTACTGCATAAGGCTGTTATTTCACATTCTTATGCCTTTGTATATGTCACTGTTTTAACATGCCAATACAGCCCAGCTTGTCTAGAATATACAAGTGTAATTTAAGGAAGCTCTTCAAAGAAGTATTTACAAAGTGTTATATAGTATTTTCTAGTTGATGCTTTTGGAATTCACTTATTCTCCATCCCCTAAATATGTTAAATATATAACTAAAATCTGAGAGAATAGTCTAATTTCCCTTATTTACAATTTCTTGAGGAATATCTTCCCACAGTCTTCACGTACTGACAACATTGTTCAGATGTCATTCAAGAAAATTTTATATTATGCTTTTTAATTGGGTTGTCCAGTTAGAGATAGAGGATTACACAGGTTGCAAAATTTTATTCTTTTTAAATAAAATATAAAGACTATGAAATAAATAAAAGTCCCAAGTTTAAAAAGATAGCAATGCATAGATATAATTCAACTGGAAACACTGTAAAGATTTTAAAACATATATTCAGGAAAAAAATGTAAAATGTTAAAAAACTATATTTACCAAGTTCTTTAGCCCAATAGAATACAAAACAGTTAAATGTATCATTATGACAAAGAGAAAGTTAAAGACAGTGTCCTGACCAAGTTATATTTAATTACAAAGTTAATGAAGTGTCTACAGTAAAATTAGTCTGTTATATCTTTCAGAAGAATTCAAATTTACTGTTACATAAAGCATCAATATATTATTATTTCCTTCATGATAATTGTAAACACAATATTTTAAATCATTTAGGCAACTTGAAAATTCTGTCTCTGTATTTACTTATAAATTTTATATGTTGGAGTTTGTAGTAGATTGAAAATATTATAAAATATATTTTTAAAAATATCCTGGATTATCAAAATTGCATTCGAATTAAAATAAAACAAAGAGACATTCATGTAAGGGATTCACATATTAACTATTAAAACAATTATGCAATTAATCACTATTAAATAACTTTAGGAACAGTGCAGTATCATATTAGGAAGCAACCACAAGATGTTGTGAGACAATTTTATTTTCTTTTTTGATGCTGTGTGATGATGTGCGTTATAAGTTACACTCTGGGAAATTATCAGATATCGTTTCACTTTCAGATAAAGCTTGCCAGGTGGTTCTTTACAATTATTCTTTCCATCAGAAGAAAAGTCCAAAAAGTTTGGTATGTTGGTATTATTCATTATGTTCGTGAAAAAATATCTCAGATCAGCAAGCATCTTATAACTACAAAAGAGAAAGAGAGAGAGAGTTTTTGAAGTTATATTTCTGAGCACTTCAGTAGAGCAAGCTGGGTAAGAAAGATTAAGAATTTTGAATTTGGTTCTTTATAGAACCAAGGGATCTTAACTGCCTGATAATTTTGTTAGAATCCTTTACACTTTCCAATTTCACTTTCTTTTTTTGTTCTAGCTATGTTCAATGTTGACACCAAGCCAGAAAGCTCCAACAAAATATTTGTATTAACATTCTCACTAAATGTCACTAATGATAAAACTGAATTTATACTTGATCATTCAGAGCAATGAATAATAAATAATAGGCAGATCAATGGTATTAATAATTACTGCTGTTTCCTTTAAACAGATGAATACTTGTAGTTTGGATTCAAAATGTTTATGCTTGTGTCAGGAAAGAACTCTAGGGCTGATATCCTCTGTTATAAGACTTTCCACTATTTCAGTCTTTTGTCTTGTCTTTTTCATGAGCCTCTTTTTTCAAAGAATTCTTGTGGAAGGAAAAGGAAACACTATTGCCATATATACCTTTTATATTCTACAATACAATTAAAAGTAAAAGCTCTTTGCTATTTATTTTTGGTTAAATATACTCAGGCCCATAACTTAAACTGGAAAATTCCTGGATGCATTTCTATTGAGTATTATTTTCAAAATGAATAGTTTTTATCTCAGATTATTTAAAACTCGACTTCTATAGCTATTTTGATCATAATCTGTATTTTAAATTTTTAAAGGTCTGGCAATAGCACATCAAAATGTATAAAGTTAAGGCCATCACTACCAATATATAAATGATATGTCAATACAGACAAATTATATGAGATTGGATTTGAAACATGCCGGTAAAAAGAACAGCTGAGAACACTAGTCTTAGTGTGTGGGTGTGTTTTCACCAGTCACATATTATTAAGAAAATAATTGTTCACTTTCTGGTTTATTTTGCTTTTGTATAATTGGTTTACTTAATAAGTCAAGTCAGTCTGTGTGAACAAAGCAAATAAGATTAATTTGAGGCCTTTGAAAAAACAAGCTACTAGTTATATTGATAGTTTTCATTTATAAGGAATACTGTAGGTTGCTTTGCAGCACCTGTAAATGATCTGCACTTCACCTGTTTTTTCCAACTGCTTGCTGGATGTTTCCTTTTTGGGCGTCCTGTTGACATATGAAACACAATACTTTCAAAACAGAAATAATGTCTTCCTCCAAAGACCTCTCCTTTTTACATTTTGTATCTCAGGTGAGGGAAAATTATCCTACTGTAAGCCAAGTAAGAACTCTAAGAACCATTCTCAGCTTAAAAAACAAAAACAAAAACAAAAAAACCTAATACATGGCCGGGCATGGTGGCTCACGCCTGTAATCCCAGCACTTTGGGAGACCGAGTTCAGCAGATCACTTGAGGTCAGGAGTTCGAGACCAGCCTGGCTAGTATGGTGAAAACCTGTCTCTACTAAAAATACAAAAATTAGCCGGGCATGCTGGTGGGTGCCTGTAATCCCAGCTACTTGGGAGGCTGAGGCAGGAGAATCACTTGAACCTGGGATTTCAGTGAGCCAAGATCGCGCCACTGCACTCCAGCCTGGCAACAAAGCAAGACAAAAAAAACAAAAACAAAAACAAAAAAAAACCCCTAATACATCTACTTACAGTTATGCAATTAAAATGGCATTTCCTGGCCAATGAAATTCCACCCAATTTATAAGCCTAAATCTAAATGGCGTACTCTCAGTGAAAACCTTCCCCAATTTTAAAATTAGAATTAATAAATTCTTTCCCTATTATCTATATAACTTTACTGGAGTACTTTTCACAGGGTCAAATATTTTGCTCTTTGTTGATTAACTACCTTTTCACAACTATTTCTACATACAGGCCATTTCAAAACTTAGTGGTGTAAAACAACAGCTGATTTCATGTTGTTCATCATTTAGTAGGTCAGGACTTCAGGAGGATACAGTAGGCTGTTTTCACTTGATTATCTCATGTGATTGCAGTCAGATGTCTGGCTGGGCTGCAGTCTTGTAAAATCACTGACTCCTGGATGTGAAGGATGGCTCTCTCAGAGGGCTGGCAGTTGATACTAGCTGTTGGCTGGGAGCTCAGCTGGGGCTGTTAGTTGGACTGCCTAGATGTAGCCTCTCCAGCATGGTGGTGTTAATTAGATTACTCACATGGCAGCTGCATTTCCCAAAGCAGGTGTCACTAGATTAGCAGGTGAATACTGCATGACCTTTTTTGATTTCGCCTTGGAAGTCACACAGCATCACCTCCACTTCTGTTGGTTGTAAATGGCCTACGGAGCAAAACTGATAGATCTGCCCTGTCCAGGCCTCCCATTCTCTCTCTGTTTCTCTAAAATGTGTCTTTCTTTCCATTTCATGTTTGTGGGTCTAATTTCTTTCCCTTGTCAAGTTCTGCCTCAGTACTACATACTTTCTTACATCCTTCACTGAGCCCATTATGCAACTACTGGAGCCAGTACTTATGTGCTTGAGAGCATAGATATAGTGGTTCAAATCCAAGGTCTCCTATTTAAAGATCTTGGAAAGTTATTTAATCAATTTATGTGAAAAGTAGAAATAATAACAGAACCTATATACCTCATGGAGTTGTGAGCACTGAATGAGAAAATGGTAGAGAATATTGCCTGACACGTAGTAAGTAGACAATGTTAGCTATCATTCTTATATCTTTCTTCTTCAAAGCCCATGTTAGTTTACATGTACCTTTTTTTGTATATATGGCATAGTCTGTACTAGTGATAGAAATTCATGGGCTTATTTTCTATTGTTTACATATTTAGTCCAATGTCTTATAGACAACATATGCCTGGAGACATTTGTATTGTGAATATCAACTCAGATGCCCTGTGATCTTAAGCCTCAGTATACAAAACACATGAAGAGACTTGCATTTTTTTCCTCTCTTATTCCTTGTAACTTTTTCTTCCCATGATCTCTCTTGCAGAAATTAGAAAAGAAAAATCTGGGAAGACTTCTTCAATTCTGAAAGATAAAGGTAACAGAGTTAATTTAATATAATATTACAAATTTATTAGGAAATATATATTATTGAGAACACAGTACATTAGCTGCATCCCCTTTGCAAATATGTAAACCAGAACTGCAGAGGTCACACACATATTTTTAAAAACTTGTGTTTATTTGTTTGTCTCTAAAATTATTTCTTCTCATTATTACCAAGAAAGTGCTCTGATTACAATTCCCAAAAATCCCAAAGAGAAAAGAAAGAAAAATGAAAAAAGGTTTTTTTAATGAAAAAGATAAAAAATATAGAAGGGAAGTAAAGAATATTAAGAAGCACTTGTCCCCAAATTCTCTGATTCTCTCCTTTCTATTCCTAAAATATATATTTAGTGCATAATATATCCCAAGCACTTGGTAAACATTGGAGATGATGATGACAACAAAAATGGCAAAGCTACAAATAGGAAGTAATATTTGGTAATTAGAACTCTGCATTCTGATATTTTCAAATGCTCTGAGGCATATTCTGCCTGCGTTAGTCTTGTCACACTCTATATTGCTATGAAAAAGCATGAAATTCTTAATTAAATTTTGTAACTTCCATCTCCTGAATGGACTAACTGCCTTTCCTCTTTGCCTATGTAAATATTTAAACTGATCCTAAGAATAATGTCCACATACAGCATCAAGCCTTCTCTACCTATTTCAGCCTTCAATGAGTCCCCTCTCTTCTGAATTAACACACTTGTAATATTTATAATTTATTCTGTAGTACGTATATATGTGTTATATATATGTACTATAACATATAATTTATTATATAAGTGTGTGTAATATATGTATATATAATAAATTAACTAAAATTCATCTATTTAAATCTCAAGGTCTGATATTATTCACCTTAATTTTTTGTGTGGACTGATCAGTGCTATATTCAACAATTATTTATTCTGCATCTAATATGATGTAATTAATTCAGATACTAGACACAAAGGATGCAAAAAAAGCATAGACTATAATCTCTGAGAAGTTACAGTATTAATAACATAATTAAAATTATAATAATCATAAAGGAGGTACACAGGATGCTATGAGAGGGTGTAATAGGAGATTTTGATCAATTTTGTGTGACCAGGAAGTTTTTTCCTGGAGAAATAATATGAAATGTAAATGAGAAGGTGAAGAGTTTGCCTTTAAAGGTGTGGTAATTGTTTGGAGGAAGTCCAAAAGTGGTGCATCTACTCTTTGCCAGGCACCTTGATACCTACTTTACATATTTGTTTCAGCAAAATGTGCTAGCTACCTCTATTTTTGTGAACAAGGAATGTGAGGTCTAGCAATATAAGTTACTCAGTGTCACACTGTGGGTAATAGGGAAAGGTAAGAGTCAAAGTCATCTCTGCCCTACTTTAAATTCCATTTTTTCACTTTAACACAGACACTGCCTTTGTCTTAGAATAGGGGTCTTATATTTGTATTCACAAAAGCACTTTTGCTTTGAGTGTAGACCTTATAAAAACAAAAAAAAATCTATTTGGCATAGATGCATTGGACATACACTATGAAAAATAGTCTAAGTTCTTTTGCTATTGGGGTAACTACACTTAATTCTCACAGATGGGCTTAATCTATTTTTCTTTAGTGATTACCTGTATTTTGCGACAGTTCCATTCCCAGCCTCCACTCTCATGTAATATGAAAGTCAATAAAAACAGCGTCCTTGATTTTGTGAAAATCAAAATTGTCATGAAAACATACTATCAGGAAAAGATATACATACATAATTTGGAGTTCACAATTTGTAAAATCTAAATATTTCCTTCTTCCATTGTCATATGGAAGACATTTGGGGACATTAATGTCTTTATTTTAGTCTGCACTTATATCACAGGAATACTTGAACCACATGTTATTGTTCACTATGAAAGCAGCTCAAAAGAAAGGTTGGGGCTTAACTCCAAAGCTACACTTTGGGCAATGATAATTATCAAAACTTTTAACTATTACTTAAAATCTTCACATGTACCAAAGCTTAAACTAGTTGGAGGAATAATTGTTAAAATCTGTCCTGGAAAACATTATCTGGAGGAAATAAATCCACACTGACCACTTCATTAAGTAGGCTTTTGTAATTTCTAATATTGTTGCAATTGTATATTTTACATCATCCTAAATCAATAATCACATGCTGCAAACCTTATATACGTAATTTTCCAGTGATTGAAAATGTTAGAGAAAATAGTAGATAATTTTACAATTGACATTCCTTACTGAAAAGTTTTTGCTCAATGTAAAATTATCTACTATTTTCTCTAGAATTTCAATCACTAGAAAATTACATATATAAAGGTTTGCAGCATATGATTATTGATTTAGGATGATATAAATATATCTACTTTTTAATTCAAACTGCATTAATGCCCCCAAAATGCCTTTATTATATATAAGTCGAATACTGTTTTAGAAGAATTTCATTTTTCCTGAATATAATTTATCATTACTAAGTATCAAAGACAAAATTTTAATATTACCTATAAGATTTTAGGGACTTCAAAAGCCTCTGCAGTGTTATTGTTTTTGGAGAGTCTCTTTGAAGCCTGCTGCTAAGCTGTGGCAGAATCAGAATGCAGCAATTTCACTTGCTAAAAATTCACTTATTTTATTAGCGTTGTATTTTGTCAGTTACTTCTATTAAACCACTAAGAGATTACCTACATTTGCCTGTTACTCATACATTCCGCCTGCATGTGTACATCCAAATTCATTTTAAAATGATGCTTCAAGTTTAAAACCAGCATTATTACAAGGAAATCATTTGGAGCTGCATTTATCAGAGTTGTGATAACCATGAGTCACTGGGGGCATTCAGAGATACATTATTAGGCTTTTGCCTTTAAGTAAGGACATATAGAGTTCTAGGGATGACCGTTGCAAAGAAAAAAAAAATCAGGAGAATGATATGTCTTGCCAACTTTTGTTGCTGGTTCAGTTATTGACTTTCCTGGACCAGTGGACTCACTTAAGCCTTTTCAACACACCCACAGGGACATAGTCCTGCTTTTGAGGTCTTGACCATCCAGAAAACAGAAAATCCTGTTAGTGACCCATGATATTGGTTATCTTCCTTGTGGCATTCAACCCTATCCCTGATAACTTGTTTCTAACTCCTGGTCTGACATATCTGAGTATGGAAGATTCACCTACGGACTGAGAAACAGCAAACTGAATCCAAAGAGGCAACACAGTAGTTAAGTAATTTCTCCTCCTCTGAGAACAAAATAATAGCACTTTTAGGTTTCTCTGTTATTGGAGTAATACAATTGGACATCAAAATTATTGACTAGTTTTGCCCCCCACGTCTGTGTATGTTTGGATATAATGGCAGAGGAATCTTGACAGAACTGATCTTCTTTTACTGATGCTCAGGACTGTGCAACTTATGATCCCCCAACTTCCATTTGTCCTCAACATGTTTTTCTTGGCCATTTCCACTCAACAATTCAAAGCTAGAATTAAGGTTGGGGTAAGTTGTCTGAAGACTTCGAAACTCCTCCCCAGCCATGCTGTACTTCATCATGGATACTAACCCAGTTCCTCGTTACTGCCTTTGTCTCTGGGGGTAGTGTAAGGCAGTGGAAAATCTGAAACCATTTTCCTATCCCTTAGGGAATTATTTTTCCATAACAATGTTCGTGCCTCAATAATTTTGACAGAGTTCCACTTTATATCCCAGCACCATTAAACACTTTATAGGCCCTGATAATCAAGAACCATAAATCATCCTATAGACTCTTGGACAAACACAAAGAAACTACTATATTTTAAAAAATGTTTTCCAATATTCTGCTTTTGACAAACAAGATAGATAAGCTGAAAAGTGTCATAAGAGTTGACTCAAACCACTGATGTATCTCTCCTTCCTAATGCAGAAGTGCAGAGTTTCCATGTAATAATCTCTTCACTTTTTTGTCAGATTTAATATCCTCCTCACTTCCTTGGGTAGTTAGAGATTCCTCAGAGAAGTCTGTGGACTTCCTAAACTGGGACAAAAGCCCCTGAGGACAAAGTGGATGCTGAGAATCAATGATCTGTAGGAAAGTCAGTGCAAGTGATGACTCAGCCTAGGAACCGAAGGCATCTTGCCAGTAGCAAACTTGGAAATAGAAATCACTTTTATTTTCTGAGATCATTCTCCAAAGCTTACGGTATTGGGTTTACAATCTTTGAATGTCCTATAAAAGTGTATCTGTTATTCCACCCTTTCCTTCTCTCTCCACTAAAATCAATGTAGTTCTGTGGGCTCTCATTCTAGGTCCTGTATTTTATAAATACTAAACCCTCACACAAACATACACACTCACCCATTTAGATCAACATGCTGAATCTTGAATTCTGAGACTCGAAGCATTGCACTCTCCTGCCCCACTGGGAGTCTGTTCCCACCACCACTCCTCATTTCACAACACATTAATCCTTTTGGCTTAGCCAGGAAGTGCAAGAGCAGTAAATTACCCCCATCAGCTTGAAAAACAGTTAATGAAGCTTTCCAGTGTGTTTGTTCAATTCATGACTCTTGATTTCATCTTCATATGCTGAAGTATGGAAAAATAGCACTATTTATACACAACACCATAAATAGCAACATGGGCATTTATTTGTCACCAAAGACATTAAAAAAAATTCTACATGCTTATGGATATCTAAAGCTACAGCTTACCCGACAAGAAAATTTTGCTTTGAAAGATGCAGTTCTTTTAATAAAACCTCAAAATCAATTCTTAATACATCCAAAACTATCTGGACTCAGTTAATTCTAAGTGTTTACTAGAGTGGCATCTCCATTTACAAGCACCACCATCACAGTCTCTGTATTTTCACCCAAATAATATGGTGGGAATAGAAAAAGGGGCTGAAAGGATAGATCTCTTTCTTTCCCTTATAATTGCATTAAAAGTCATTTTCATCCATAAAATCTTTATTGAGCATTAATGTTGCAGAGGAAGCATAAAATGTGTTAATGTTTTATTTTTTATTAGGCTGTTGAATATAATGATGTTAAAGACATTGACCATATATGTGTCTGGAGCCCATGATATGGTCTGAATTACACTGAAGATGTGTTTGGAAGGTGGTAGAATAAGTAAAGTTTTATTTGAGTTACTTCAACCAAGGCCTTCATTTTGAAGACTTTAAAAGTTTATAGGTAAAATTGTCTCCTAGCTGAAATTGTCTCTCAAATTTTATTTTGGTCTTATTCTCAAGTTTGAGTCTGAAGACTAAAACACCGCTACATACATGATATGTGCAGGATTTTCTATTTGGTTGTTTATTTTTTGACAAAATGTGGGCTAAAAGAAATAAACTGGCTTTGTGCTGATTAAACAGTTTTGGAAGACTTCTGCATGCTGAAGTCATGCGATTTTTAAAAATTACACATAAATAAGGTCCTATCCATCCAAATACTCATTCTCTTAAACAAGTAGATTATAACTTGTTGAACAACTTATGTTTGTGCCAAGGAAAAATGATCAGTTTATGGCTTATTGTATTCTATACTGTTGTTTCTTTGTCCCTATATGAGTAAAACCATTTTTAAAGTGCATTATAAAGTTTCCACTTACTTTCAGCTTACTGATACTTTCAGCTTACTGACTTCATTTATAGGTATCTGAAAATCTCTTTGTCTTGGCTTCAAATAAATGTCCGATGTTTCTTTTCAGAACCTATTAAAGGGAAAGAAGAGAAAGTTCCAGCTTCCCTAAAGGAAAAAGGTAATATTATACAATGAAATGTGAAGCCACATTGATCTGCCTTTTGCATATTCAGTTATTTGCAACAAAGTAATGAATCATTTCATTTTCAGGCTCTCAAAACCATAGCCTTCATATGTTTTTAAGCAAAAGAAAAAAGATTTATATTCCATCATTAAATTCTAAATTGTACTATGAAACAAAAAAGGAAAGTGTAGCTGCATCAGAAATACTGCAAAAATTTTAAAAAGTCTTATGCTATTCTGATTCCATGGGTCTGTAGTGAAATGGAGGAATCTACATTTTATAAATATCCAAAGAGCGAATCTTAGGAATAGCCATGGAAACCAAAGATTTAAGATAAAATGAAATAGTAAAAATTTCTCAGTGAAATCTTTTGATTCTGTAAGTTCATATATAATAGAATCCTAAACATATTGTATAGCTAGGAGGAACTTAGAAACTGTAGTCCAATCCTCTTGTCTTACAGACAAATGAAGCCCAAATAGTCAAGACCTTTTTCAAAGTTACAGTTTGTAGTGGAGACAGCATTAGAACTTCAATCTCCTAAATCAAGCACTGTTCTTTTTCTAATGTGCCATGTTGCATCTCTAGCCTTTCCATTGTGATAGGCTTGAAGTAAGGTGGATTCTGATATGCCATACATCAAATTATGTTCCCTAAAACACAAATAAACTTGCCAAATTCAACGTAAAACATAAAATTTCTAACTAATCCAAGTATATTCTGTGGACATGGCATTGTGCTCAGAGTTGTCTAATATTTCCTGGTGTCAAAGTAAATATTAAAAATTTTCCATTGTGCCCATATTAATGAGTCACTGAAATTATAAAAACCAAGTAATGTACTTACTATTGTGAATGTTAGAAGAAGAGCCTGTTTCCCTGTAAAATATTGACCACACTTAGTAGAGGGACTTAGCTGTACAACTTTCATCTTACTGGGATTTTTTTATTGATAAGAGAAGGATTTCTGGTGAGCTTACATAAGCATGGATTGGGGTTGGAAGTGGTATGGAGATCAGCGGGAGAGGAAAGCTGACAGAAAGATGAGTAAGAGGAATGAAGGATGCATGGAGAGCCACCATTAGTGAGTGTAGCAATGTATAAAACTATAGCCTTAAGTCATACTTTCCTAATTTTGCAACTAATGTTAAAATAAACATAATTGTTATTTAATGAAATGTAAGAACACAACATGATTTTTTTTCTCAGCCCCATATGTATCTAATCAAAAAAAATTAAAGCAACATAGCTTCAAACCTATTAAGGAACTTATGCCTTCTTTTAGAAATGTGTTATTATAACTAAAACTTTCTTTTCATCGGCTTTTATGAGAGAGTTAGTTTATTGCTGCACACTATTTTGTTATTTTGACACGATATGTAAATTAGTATATTTTGCCTTGCAAGAGGATTCATATATGTTATGTTAAATGTCCAACAGGCAGATAAATCGTGCTACATTTTAGTATTCAAAGTTTAAATTAATTGAGAAAGGTAAGAAAAATATCCTGGACTTACCAAAACATTAATTCATCTTAAATAAATTCTAGGTTTCTTTAACATGATCTTACTGTTGGTTGACTTGGATATAACAATGTAAGTTGAAATGGTTAGATACCATTAAGTAATTTAATCACACAATGATGCTATATTTCTTTTGCCAATATAAGGTGGAAATATTTTTAAAAGGTGCAGACAGGAATATTATATATATCAATATTTTTATTTTAAAAGTTTAGTTTTTGTTTATTTTAGTCTCTGATGTCTGGAAATATATTCTCAAAGAATCTTCTTCTACTCTTCCAAGTATCTTCTTTCCATAATCCCATACCAGGTGGTTGGATCTAGCACCAGCCATTTCATCGTTAGAGATATTAGTGATGGGGACAGGGGCAACATATATCATGTTGAAGAAGATGCATTAGCTAAATCCTCAGTTTTACTTCATTGTACCATTTTCTTCCTAATTTTTAGTAAGGGCTATGACTAGACAGTGATTTGTACAAAAAGACAATTAAATGTAATCACCAGAATAATTATTTTA
Organism: Homo sapiens; assembly: GCF_000001405.40. Lineage (NCBI taxonomy): Eukaryota > Metazoa > Chordata > Mammalia > Primates > Hominidae > Homo > Homo sapiens. The sequence continues at coordinate 123,329,830 of NC_000006.12, read as the reverse complement.
AATCCCATTTTATTATTATTATTATTTTAGAAATTCAGCCCTTAAATTACTGTCAGGATTTTAATTAGTCATTTTTATTTTTCCCACTTAGAGTGACAGTGATGTCTCCTAGAAATTTGCCAGAATATTAATGGTGCTTTAAAATTTTATGCATTGAAATTCTTCTTCTTTTTTGTTCCAAACAACCAGCCAAAATTCAGACCTATGATGCTGAATGTAAATGACAACTCCTGGAGATTTTATCAGCAAAGTGTAATCATATCATGCAAAGTGACTTTAACTTTCACCTGTAGGAGGTGTTGTCTCATTAGGCTTTCTCTTTCATTAAAGGGGATCACCACCATCTCACACATATTGGAACAGTCACATCTCAAATAAATCTTTAGTAACAGGAATTAACTTTAAAAGAAAATTTTCTAGGTTAAAGTTTTAACACTTCTTTTAGTAATTAGAGAGCTCCTTAAAAGGTTTCATTAAAGGAGCATCAGACATAATATGGCAATATCATACACAATTAAATGAGAAATTAATCTGTTATGTGTTAATCTTATAATACTTAAATAGCCACAGCATATTCTTCTTTGAGTAAAGGTAGAACCATGTTCTAATTTATTCTCTTAAATCTGGTTATGCACTAAACTCTCCTATTGAATTAAAATAAAAATGTCGTTCAGGACTCATGACCAAAGATTCTGATTCAGTAATCATGTAGTGGAGACAAGGACTCTGGCTTTTTAACTCTCATTTTCCAGGAATATGGAAGTGCATTTTCAAGATTTGAAGGCTCTTCTCATCTTCATTCCTTAAAATGAAAGATAAATTATAGATGGATAAATTTTAAAAGCCGTAACCATATGCAATCAAGAGGGAAACATTTACTTGGTTGAAAAACAGAGTGAAAACAAGGTAGTAAGCCAAAAAGAAGCTGCGGGGGTGCTGGGCTCTGGATCCTTAAACAGAATTGCTGACCAGGATCACATAAGGCAATAACGTTCATTGGAATAAGCAGGGATTTTACACAAGTCTCAATGCAATTAACCAGATACTGAAGTGGAACCCCCATTCAAGAAAAGAAGGTGAAAAACAGTTGCCGTAAATAGTTCTCTGGTGCTACAGTTAATAGGAAAGTGCAGACCCAGGAAAGTGGAGAAAATAAACTCAGCCCCTCATCTAGGACCTGAAGCAAGTCATGTATTGAAATAGAGACTTGTTCAGGAATATCCCTACTAACACTATGAGGCAAGTTTTGGAGCCATCAAAGTGTACTTGGGACTAGAGGCCCAGTGAAAGATTGGTGCGAGAGGAAGGAATCACACAATCGCAATTCATAGGAAAAAAAGAAACAAAAACGGCAACAACCACAATAATACAGTTCTCAGGCTGAAATATAACCTGAAATTCCAAATCATATGAAAAAATTAATAATAAGATAGGTTTGCAGGTGGTGTTGGTGTTGGTTGGGGGTGTGTGGTCATTTGGGGCGGCCTCTGCCATCTTCAGTACATGGTTCCAAGTTCTGCCTATGCATTGGCATTGCAGCCAGCACAAAGGAGGAGGAAGTGTGAGGGCATGCGTGCCAGGTGGCATGCATCAGTCCCATCCCCTTGCCACCAGGGAAGATTTAGATTCTTGATACATTTAACTGCGAGGGATTCTGGGTGAGAGAAGGAATGAAGAACAAGTTGTGTTGGCTAGTCAGGATTTTCTGCCATTACATGCCTTTCCATATGTTTGAAGATTATTATAACAGTATGGAGAAAATGTGGAAAATATGGAGTGATTTAGACTAGGTTGATAATATGGCTTATGGGAGAGATACAAGCATTTTAAAATGATTTTGACTAAACAAAACAACGCAAAAATCAATGTGCATGAATATGTGTAATATGATCACATATATGCATTTATATAGCATTACAAATTATACATATGTACTTATGTTTAAATATTAAATATAAAACACACTAAAAATGTCATCTTGATTTCAACATTGTATCAGATATAGTACCAATGGAGAAAAGGTATAAGAATTGAAAAGGGATAATCAAAGTTGTATTTGCAGAAAAGCCATCTTCATAAATATTCCAAATTTACCCACAAACAAAATATTAGTATGAATAAGAGAAATTAGCAAAACTTCTGGATACAAGATCATCCTATGAAAATTAATGTTTAGCATTCCTAAACATAAGTGATGAATAATTCAAAAATTTATTCGTTCAGGGTACCCTATTCACAATGGAAACAAACTCTGTTACAAAGAATAAATGTATCTAAATATTGATGACATTTTCATGTAAAAATTATGAAAAAAATTTTGAAATCCATTTTTAAAGGCTTGAATAAGTGAAGCAATATTTCCTTTTCCTATCTGGAAGTGATCATTTCCCTTTAAAGTAATGTATAGATTCATATAAAAAATATCAACGGTATTTTTAGAGTAGAAAAAAGTTTTCTTAAATGTCTTTAAACTTGAAAGGACAAAAATAAGAAAATATTTTTTGAAAAATAATAAGGTGGAATTGCCTGACCAAATATAGTTATTTTTTATAGAATTGCTTTAATTAAAATGATATGGAAATAGTACGGGTATAGGAACGCACACTGAGAGAACATAACAGCGAGCCCAGAAATGAAGCCCTAAATGTAGGAAAATACATTAGATGACAGATGTATCATTGAGAAAATAAATGGAAAACCACACTTGTTTCTCATGTAGGAAAAAATTTAAATTCCGCTCTCATATTTGCGCAAAAAGAAATTTAAGACATCTTCAAGACTTGATGCTAGAAGACAAACTTCAAACATTCAGGAAAATAGAGAAGAATATATATAGCTTTTGGTTACAGTAGAATTTCTTAAGACACAAAGAGAGCAAATCCAGAAGAGGAAGATTAGCCACACATTAGAAAAATATATTGCAATGCATATAATGAACAAAGAAAAATAACTGATATTTTAAAAATCTGCAGATTTTATTTTTAAAATGAAAGCAAGCACTTGAAATTTAAAATTTGCCAGTTTCTATTTATTTTAAAAATAGCTAATTGAGCAAATGACCAAATAATAAATTTATGATCACTGAAAAATGTGGGTGATATTTGTAATCAGTACTTCTTGGTTAATTTATAATGTGGACTAACAATTTATTTCTATGACACAGTTCAATTCAAATAGATGATAGAGAAACAATAGCTGAAATCTATCTAAACTACATGAAGTTTTGTATAGGACATTCATGTAAACCAAACATTAATAGTAGGTGTATGTCTATAAGAAAATTTGGGTGACTTTAAGAGAAATATTAATATACTCAGAATTCAATGTCATGGACCTGATAATATTTTAAAAAGTAGAAATACATTTCAAAATTGCTTCAACATGTTAGAAGCCAGATTCAATCAAAATGAGATGCTACACTGAAGTGAGATGGGACTTTGAGATGGGATACTAGAAAAGGACATGCTTAGAATATAAGACTCTATATCTCTTTTACACCATGCTGAATTTGAGGTATTTTTAGGACATTCTAGTAGAAATCTAGAGCTGGAAGCTGGCTATTTGGGTGTGAGTATCAGAAAAAATATTTGGGTTGGAGATACACTTGTGAACCTGTATTCTGAATTTGAAGATGTTGGCATGCCATGCATGGGTGCGATTTCTTATGGAAAGAGCCAAGAGTAAGAGAAATAATGTTAGGAGAGGATAAAGTTAAGTCTCAAAATTGAGGAACCCTAAACCTTCTTCTTAACATGAGTACTACCAACAAACTTGAAGTCCAATACTAGTAATCACTCTCTCTGCTATTTATTTTACAGAAATTGGTAATTTTGCATGTTCAGTTGTCACTAGTTTTTGTGTCTCATTGCAAAGGTACAATGTTGTTTCTATAAGCACTATTTTAATATTGATTAATTCAGATACAAACCTGCAGGGGAAAGCTCAATGATTTATTGAAGGAGTATGTGTTGTGTAGTCTGCTTTTATAAGAAAGAATCAAGACAGTTGGTCTCAGAGACTTATCCCAAAAGGCACCTTTCAGAATAAGTTAATTCAACATATGCCATAGTAAACTTAACCAGTGTTTTTGTCTTGCTACATCTAGAGACCATAAATATTCCAGTGTCCAGTGATTAACATAAAAAGGTGGAGTTTTGTCCCCAAAGTTCCAGTTTTAAAGTTATTTAGTGTTCTGATTCTGTTTAAACTGATATAACAGGGATTTATTTTGTCTTTTGAAACTGATAACTCTAAGAAGATTCAATTAATCTATATATTTTATTCACTACTCTAAATTTTTAAAATGTTCCAATAGTATTGCAATTCACATATGTCATCTTCACTCATGTCATTGTCCTCCTCTACGAAATATTAGAACTTTCAGTAAAATATTTTCATAGTCTAATACTGGGTCTAGAATATTTGGTTTAGTAATCAACATTAGTATTTTAATTTTTCTGTACTTTTTCTGAGTTTCTTGGTGCCTAGTCTCTAATATAAATTCTTAGCATGATTTAATTCTGCCCTGAAGTATTTTAAGGAGAAATACTACAACTGTCATGTTAACAGTGAAGAAATTGATGCCCAAAGATTAAATGATTAGCCAAGATTTTTATGCTGAATTAGCTACTTAGTATCAGACTTAATAACCACTAAAAATAATCTTATTTTTCTTTTTTTCAATATTGGAATATATTAGCAAAACTTATCCTAACACATAGTCAAAATTTTTGTCTTTGTAATAATTTTATTGTGTTTGCTAGGCATGAAGGAAGATTACAGATAATCTGTTGATTAATAAAAAAGACCAATCAGGATTCTAAAGAATAAAATCTTAGAAGATGCCTTTAAAATCCATGATTACTCATTTTCTGAAGAATTGTTAAAGTGAAAGTTGGACCCATAACAGTAGCACTTTCACTTTAAGCAGCAATTTACAGCCTAACACATTTCTTGTTATGTCCATTATGCCAAAATGTCAAGTTGATAGGATGGAAAGAGGTCATGTATTATTTTCAAAAGTAGTTGAGGGGGCCAGGATTTTCTCTGCAAGCATTAGCTATACAAAAGTATTGTATCCAAGCACTGAGAATTTTTATAATCTTCATCCAAAATGTTAATATACAGCAACATGTGTACAGCTGTATGTAGGTGAAATACACGTGCAACTCTAAGTGTAGAGCTCCAATATTCATTCCTTGGTATTTTTTAAATATCAGCCCTCATTCAAAAGGCAGAATTGAATGAAAGAATGGGTCACAATCTCACTGCAACCTGTCTTATCACTCCAAGCTATTTTATGCATATGTTCTAATATGCTTCTCTCCTTGAAGGTTTTTTTGTTTTATTTTGTTTCGTTTTGTTTTTTGTTTTTTCTTTTCAGAGATGAGGTCTTGCTCTGTTGCTCAGGCTGGCCTCAAACTCCTGGGCTCAAGAGCTCCTCCTGCCTCAGCCTCCTGAGTACCTGGAATTATAAGCATGCACCACACACCTGGCTTCTGTCCATTAACATTTTAAAAAATATATTATTTCTACTGTAAGTCTTCTATTATTTTTACATTTTTGAACAAGATATAAGATGATTCATACTTAAACCTATGACATTTTATCTACTTAATTGATTATTCTTACTTCAAATTCAAGAAAATCGATACTGGTACCCAGAAAAACAAGCAAGAGTCTAGTGACTTCCCCTCAGTAAAGGAAAACTAAGGAATGCCTGCTTGTTTACCTTGGTAAGTGGCCTTTGCACAACTTTCTGAACTCATTGAATGGTTTAAAGTCAGCAGGCTCATTAGCTGAAATATTTCCAACTCGCCATCTGCCATCTTCAAATAACATCACAGGGCCTGATTCTGACAATTTCTGCAGGACCTACAAATGCATGCAGCCACCTCCAATTATATCTCACCTATTTTAAATGCACACTCTTCACACTGGGAAGCTTCAGGGAAGGAAAGAATAATGAGGAGCATATAAGTAGGCATAAAAGAAAGAACAGATAAAAGCAGAGTGACACTATCAGAAGTGTGGTACATTGCATTTAGCATATACAAAAGACAAAAGACCATGAAAATGAAATGATGACAGAATAAGGCAGGGACAATGTATGCATTTATTCTGTGCTGAAAAGAGAGAATGCCCTGTGGCCCATTTTATGTGTTTAATGTCCACTCAGCAAAGTTTTTCTGTAAGCATCAAACTCCATTGGGAATTTTGCCAAGGAAGGATTGCAGAATCAGGACTTAGGCATAAAGCATTGAGTCATGACTTAAGCGCCTGCATTACAAACTGGAGCCATTTTAGAACTACACCTACAGAAACTTATCAACCATAATTGTTTTTGTTTTGTTTCTGTTGTTGACTTAATGGGTTTGAGAGGTGTGTAAGAGGGACAGAGACAGAGACAGAGAACATGTGTGTGTGGAGGTGTGCTTGTGTGTGTGTCTATGTGTTATGGGAAAAGCAGTGATGTCAGTAGTTTGAGGCTCTTGCTTCCTGAAATAACTAACAATAAACAAATTAGTTCGTGTAGCCACTCTGAATAATTTTACTAGACAGACAAATTAAATATAAATATCTGAAGATAATGCACACCAGGGTTCAACGTCTAGTGAGTCAGTTCTAATGTGTTTTTCCATACATGTAAGGGTTTTGGATAGTGAGACAGGGATTCTGCTTCATATTTTGGTTTAAACACCCTAAAAATGAAGTTAGCATTTTGATTTTCCTGTCATTTTGAAACAGCATTTTAATTTTGTTATATATCCGTAACAATTTTTGAGTGTTCACATAATGTTCTGTGGCTATTCTAGGCAGTGAGGCTCCAAAGATGAAAAGACATATTCCCTGTCCTCAAAGATCTCACAAGACAGTGAAAAAAGGTGGGACAGGCCAAGCGCGGTGGCTTATGCCTATAATCCCAGCACTTTGGGAGGCTGAGGCAGGTGGATCACGAGGTCAGGAGATCAACACCATCCTGGCTAATATGGTGAAACCCCGTCTCTACTAAAAATACAAAAATTAGCTGGGCGTGGTGGTAGGCACCTATAGTCCCAGCTGCTGGGGAGGCTGAGGCAGGAGAATGGCATGAATCCAGGAGGTGGAGGTTGCAGTGAGCCGAGATTGCGCCACTGCACTCCAGCCTGGGTGACAGTGAGACTCCGTCTCAAAAATAATAATAATAATAATAATAATAATAATAATAATAATAATAAATTTTAAAAAAAGAGCTGGGACAGGGGAAAAGTGAAGTGTTCGCCAATGCTCCCTTCAATAAGGCAGACCAAATTGTCATCTAATCAATGGAGATCTGTTATTTCAATATTAGTACTTGAATACTCAGGAAATATTTGTTAAATCATTTAGTCTAATTCTAGCCACAAATTCCTGAGATAATTATAATGTTTCCATTTCAAAAGATTAGAAAATGGAAATTTGGAGAGTTTCAGAGATCACATATTAGATTATTTGGTTAAAAAGGAAATAAATTTCAAACTGAGGAATTGTTTGCTTGCTTAGCTTTTGCCTGTTTGTTTGTTTTTCTTCAACTGCAGTGGCAAAAATGATCTCTGCAACTCCTTGACATGAATGAAGTTGAACTATCACTTGAGAATATCATCACCTTGCTTCTTCATTATGCATGGAAGGATTCCTCAGTTCATGAGCAAAGATGATACTAATTCAGAAAGATAATCAGGGAAAATGGGAGCATAGAGAATGCATGAAGTGTCAAGACCATATGGATGTGGCTAAATAAGAGAAAGGAAAATGTTAAACAGTCAGTAAAATATTGAAGTAAAGAAATGTACAGCCAGATAAGATGAAAAGCTATGTAGTAGCAGATGCTGGGTGTTGGTTCACTGTGTGACCTCACCCAAAGTTAGAACAATTTCTTCTTTTGGCAATCTATGAACTGAAGAAGTTCAAAATCAAACTCAAAGGCAGTGAAATCTTGTCTTTTTCACAGTTATATTTATCCGGACCACAAAGCATTGTGTCTGCAGCAGAAGAAATCAGATACCATCTAGTATAGCAGACTGAATCTTTGCAAAATAAGCATTCCTCTTAAGACTTATTTAGGGAGGCTTATCTCATATCTGAAACATTGAAGTCAAGCTATTTGGAGTGACAGTATTTCTATATTCCATGCAGTACTTCCTCATGCAGAAAACAGAATGTGGAAGAGTGTGAGTGTGTGTGTGTGCAGGCACATGCAAAGTGCATCACATTTTCTTTTAAATAATAATATAGTTAGGACCACAACAAAGTTGTGAAATTGCGTGTCTTTGTGTGTAGTAGTGGTAATAGTAGTAATAGCAAGTAGTAGCAACAGGTTTTCATCAAAGTCCAAATATTCAGGAGATCCTGAATAAAAAAAGGTCCAAATGATGGAAAAACCATGGGTTTGGAATAAATGTATGAATGTTGCTTATAACAAATAAAATGTTTTTTTTAATTTTAAAATACGTATTGTATTTAAAATTGGGTTAGAAAAGTGCGAGAAAAGTAGTTTAAAATATCAGTGAAATGATTGACCTCCACCGTTTGCTTTGTACCTGGCACCATTCGAAGTACTTCACGTGTAGTGTTTAATTTTCACAGCAATCCTGTTTGCATTAACGTGAAAATGGAAGCACTGAGAGTTACTTGCCCAGGTCACACAATTGCCTGATGTGGATCCAGAACTGGTGTCTGGCAGTCTGATTTTAGACCTATGTCCTCAGCCACCACGTTTTCCAGACCCCCTCATACTGAAATTCACCTATGGTTGACCAGAGATAACACTGCTAATGTTCCTTTATATATTTTACAGGAGTAGGTTTTGTGACCCGCTTTTAAATATAACAACTTCCCATGTCATTAAATATTGAATACTACTCCAGGAGTGTGTGAGAGAGTTATTCATTTTCTATTAATGCTCAGACTGCTTAGTTTTACCAGCTCAACGTAGGAAACTATATAATACGATTCATGATTTAAAGACTGGCTTGAAAAAAAATAGAAACCTCTGTGATTATACTGTATATGTTAATTATAATCCTAATGACTATTAGTAGTTTGTGTAGATAATACAACATAGATAATATAGACAGACCACTTATAAGAAGTAGAATGTGGTGTGCTATACAGTTTTTATGTATTAAATGCTTCAAAGCTTTTAATTCTATCAGTAGCAACTTTAGTTATAGAAGTGTGTTGAAGTGCTTAAAACTTTGGAAACGGAATTCAAATCCCAGTTTTGCCACTTACTAGGGAGTATATATTTAAACATATTATTAAGTCTCAGTATTGCTATCTGTAAATTGAGTCTAATAATAACATTTACCACATAGGAGTGGTATGTAAGGATTATGTAATTTGTCCATTTTTTCAACAAATATTTGTTGATCTCTCTTCTGTGCAAAGAACAGTCTAAGCACTATCATGTATTAGGGAAAATAAAAAAATCATCCCAGGACTCATGAAGTTTATATGCTACTAGGGTTAGAGAGCTAATAAACAAATGAATATTTAATATTATATCAATAAAATATAGATAACATATATAATATACTTACCTTAGAGACTACCATGTGGCAAATACAAAGTGTCATTGGTGCAAAATAATAATAATGATTATTATTTTATTTTATTCCACATGTGAGATATCTATGTGCTAAAGAAACAACCGTGATAATAACAAAATAAATTGAGAAAAAAATCTATGATATTTAGCTTTTGCCTTGCAAAGTACTTAAAATAGAGGCATTCTGAAAATAATGCAGATTATTGGGATTTATATATTGAATAAATTTATTTCTTTTCTTTTTATGAAGACAAAGCAGAGACTCCTAAACAGAGTTTGTCTCCACTGCTGCCCTTCTGACTTAAGCACTTGCATGCTGAAGTTTTGGTCTGCTTATTCTACTTGAAAACACTATTGATGACATTGAAAAATCACTAATGAAGCTCCCTTCCCCAGGCCCATCAGCAATTTACATTTCACAAATGAAATCAACAGCCTGGAAAAGTCAGTGCTGCATAGGAAATGGCAGGCTGCCTGCCTCAACAACTTAGCATGGGGACTTTTTGGTTCCATATTTCCCCAATGCTTGTACGTGTAGCCCAAAACGAAGGGCTTCAGTGGCAAATGTTTACAGAAATTAGATATTGTATTATTATACAAGAATAATTGTGGTAGAAAACAATTAAACAGTGAAGACAGAATGAAAAATAAATGCTCGCCTGCTGTCTCTCTGGCCTCCCAGTCCCAATGGCCAGTATTAACTAACAACTGTCCTTGGTTTCCTGAAGCATCTCATTATAACTTTTCATTAAGCTTCATATATAAAGTTTATATATATACACACATATGTAAATATATATATAGTTGTTTTTATATGGCTTGAAATAAATCCTAGTTAGAAACTGTAATCTCATATGGCTCAAAAAATACTTTACTGTCAGTAGAAATATCATCTACAAAATGAGTGCACTGAGTTCTTAAAAATCAAGTAGCCTAATAAAAGAGCTGCTCAACTTAGAAAATCCGTTGCCACTTTCTCACATATCAATTCCTGCCTTGAGTATTCAAGGGTAAAATCCCAATTCTGTTTAAAAAAAAAAGAGAAAATTACTTTGAAAGATCATGCAATTTAAGTTTATGAGCATAATTTAAAAATAGCTAAGCTCTTTATATACATCACTTCTAATTCTCACATCAATTTTACATTATTTTCTCCATTTTAGCAATGACAGAATGAAGACTTGAGGTTTTAAGTAATGCCCAAGGTCACAAAACTTAGGAAATGAGCTTGCTTTTAAAGTCAGATTATAAAACCCAAAAACCGACTCTTCATACACCAAAAGAACTTGTCCTAAGGTCATCTTTAGCATTACTGTTCACATAACACTAAAGCCAGTAGTTCTATTCTAGTAAGAGGGCCCACAGCCACACGTTAGATAATACCTTTTCATAGGAGTGCTTACAAAATTCTGTGTACAAGATCGAAGTTGGTTCTGGTTGTATTGTACCCATAGTTGGTATAAATATTCTCCACAATTTTTATTTTTTCCAAAAGATCGTTTGACAAACATTAAGGCTGAGAAGATTTCATTTCAAGATTACAATATGATTGACAGGAGTGAAAGCCGTGTGCAGAGTGGGAAGCAAGGCTGTTTCAAATAGATACCTATTATTGATGAGCAAAATGCTAATGAACTGTGTCCTAGGAAGAAAAGATTTAAATTTGTGGGAATTCATTTCTAAGAAATCCAAATATTCAAATTAGCCATACTTCGGAAACAGAACTAAGAAGGAGACCAAGATCATTCTATCCAGACCTTGGGATATGACCCGGGTGAAGGGAAATAGGTTGGGAAAATGGAATCTTGGTTCTGCCACTTAGCAGCTGAATGAGGTTCCGCAAACTAACTTCCGTAAGTTTCAGTCACTTCATCTACCAAATGGGGATTAAAATAGCATGTACTTCATAAAATAATGGAATAATGCAAGTCAATAATTGACCAGCACTTGAGCCATAAGTACTCCAGAAAAAATAATTCTCATCACTAGAATTGTGCTAATTTGCTTGAAAGTTTAAACTGTACTGTTGACCTAGCATAGATTCAATAAAGAAAGAACTATTAGAGAAAAGAAAAAGTTGTTTCCTTTCCAGTGAAGCCAAAATCTCATCAGAACTCACCATCAAAAGAGAGAATTGTGTATTGTAGACTAAGTAATTAGATAGGAATTAACTTTAGCCTAAACTGACTGAGACAAAACATAGCACCAGGAAACCCAATAATTGAAGGTATCATTGAATTGTTGCAGGCCATATTTGCTATCATTGGACACATAAAGACATCACTTATTTTTTTAAGTTTCTAAAATAAAATATAAATGCAACAGCTATGTGACATTGAATTTTTATCTCTAGTTGCAGAGTCATAAGATGAATCAACTTCTTCTAGGACTTCAGATACCCAACAGGGAGCCTTTAGTCATTCTATATATTCCATTTATTTCACTCATTCATTCCTTCAACAATATTTGTTGATCATATACCACATATCAGATATTTCACCCAGTGCTGATATTTGAGTAATAAACAAAACACAGTTCTTGCACTAATGGAGCTTAAAATCTAAAGAGTGATTACAGACAATAACAAAATTTTCTATAATACTGTGGCACATAGAAAACATTAAAATAGGGTGTATCTACCAAGCTAAGTGAATGTGTCAAAAAGGGGGAGAAATATGTGCCAAAGAGTGTCAGAGTGCATTAATAGCACTGATACTACTTTTTACAGAAGGTGCACTCAAGTATTATCGGAAGTAGTGTGTAAAAGTCTATGACATTCTTTATTATATAAAATTCTGCAGTTAAACAAATTAGTTTTTAAAATTATAACTACAGAAAATGAGACACTGCTAGACTAAAACCCAAATAAAGCTGGTAGCATTATCCCTTATACATAGTTTATGCTCAGTAGGTATTCCAACTATGAAGTCAGTTTTTTCTGCTGTTTGGAGGGAGGAAAACTGTAATGTACCTGGACTCTTCCATTAATCAAAAGAAGACTCTATACCAAGAACAGATAATTATAAAGCCTAGGAAAGTTGGTTAGATAAAAGGATAGACTGGAAACATGAAAATATAGTCAACTATCTTATTGATTAGGGTTGTGCTATGAGTATTACTTGAATAGTTTAAAAAAGGTATGAATTTATTCTATACTGGTGTTTTTAGAATGCAGAATTTCTGGACAAAAGACATTGTCCTAGGACAATAAGAGAACAAGATACTTTATGTCACAATTGTCTATATTATTATATTAAATTTAGGTAAAATTGATTTATTTTATAAAATTGATACTAACGGAAATACTAGGAAAACAATAATTATATTAACCACTAGGTGGAGCCCCATGAATTAAATGTATGGTAGTCAAAGACAAAATTGCTTAAGTTGGTCAAATTAGGAAAATTTATGACGTTTTTCTTCTGAGCAATTTTTATTAATTTTTTAATTTGCAATATTTTCAGAATGCATAAATTATAAGTCCTGGCTTTTATTAAAGACAAGAAGCCAAATTACTTGATTAGCATGAAACTTTTTTGCAAACTGGATTTTAAAATCAAAGTATTTTTGCTTAAGTTACTTTATAATTTACCAAAGATACATATTCCATTAATATTTTGATAACAGTATATAACTATAATTGAAATTGAAAACAGACAAGAAAAATCAGTGAAGCCTACCTATTAATCCACTTTGTACTGACTATTTTTCAAATGTTATTTTTTTCCCTTTTGTTTGTACGTGTTTATGTGTACGTTTTGCCCCAGAACCTGAAACTAAAAAAGATGAAAAGATGTCCAAAGCAGGTAAGGATATTTTGTAAGATTTACATACAAGGAGATGTTCTGTTTGGTTGGAAGAAAGCTAGTTTTACAGTTTTACAATCCTGGCTGGATAAAATATTTAGACATCCAAAACATTAAAAAAATACTGATGCTATGTGCCATATATTTTACAAGTAATAAGCAATAAAACTAAATGTATGCTAAAGTTAACAAAAATTCCTTGCTTTCTGGTAGCAGATTTTGGGTAAGTTTATCAAAGCACTAGAACCATTAGCACATACGCTGCTCTTTGTTTATTTACTGGGCAATTGAACACTGTTTATGAAATGCTAAGAGGGCACCTTAAATGTCAGAGGCTCCATACAGAGCATGTCAAATGCCTAAAATTTATTATTATCATGGATTGAGTTTTATGAACCTGTATTTACCTACTTTCAACCATTTTGATCTCCAAAAAAGGAGTCCCACATGGTTCAACCTAACAGATTAAACACTTTTCTTTCACACAATTAAATGTGCAAATATTTTATGGAGAAGTAATCCATTGACCTATTGGCCATTAATTTGAAAGCTGAAATACTTTTAAAATAGACTTTCTAAAAACAGGTTTTGCAAGGGAAGAAGTCAAGAGATTAGCTGGGCACTCAAGGCTAGTGATGAAGGTTGAGTGGATGAATATCATAGAATATGGGAAAATGTAGAAAAGGAAGACACTAAATCCTAAGGAAAATTTCAATTATAGTCTTTCTATGGCTTATCCTAATTCAAGTATTTTGTATCTTTATAAGGAGATTTATATGTTTATATCTATCCAAAAGAAAGTTGTATCTATATCTATATCTCTCTGTAGAGTGAAAGTGATACTACAAAAAAGCAGACATTCATGATGTTGGTCTAAAAATTTTTGCATATATTCATTTGCACAAATTTTAATCTATATTTAAGCAGTTATTACAAATCACCCTTCTATGTATATGTTAAATATTAAATTATTAAAGTCATTTCTCTTAAGAGCATTGCCATCAGATCAAAATAAATTGTTTATTTTCTTATTTTTAGTGAATAAGCATGCCCATTTAAAGTAATTTTATATAATTTTAAAACATGCATTCTTTGGAAGATCAATGAAAAGTTGAACAATTTTAAACTGCAGAAAAAAAGCATAATAGAGATAAAATGTTATATTGAGTGTTTACATCAAAAGTTACAAATAAACTTTAGATATATCTTCAGAAAAGGAAAAACTGCGTACAAAAAATTGCTTTATTATTGTTAGCATTTTTACTGGAGTAGTGAAAACTCACTAATCAGATAAAAGGTGCATTATGTTGTCCTTTCCTCTTTGCATAACATTGTATTTTATGCTTTATTTTACTGATGATATATAATAGAAAAAGTAACATGCACTAACAATTTCCTATTATTAGTTTACATTAAGTATTTATGTCTATTTTATTATTGTTACTTAAATTTTATTTTAAGTTCAGGTGTACATGTGCAGGATGTGCAGGTTTGTTACACGGGCAAAGATGTGTCATGGGGTTTGTTGTACCAATTATTTCATCGCCCAGGTATTAAGCCTAATATCCATTAGTTATTTTTTCTGATCATCTCCCTCCTCCCACCCTCCACCCTCCAATTGGCCCCAGTGTGTGTTATTCTTCTTTATGTGTTCACATGTTCCCATGATTTAGCTCCCGCTTACAAGTGAGAACATGCGGTATTTGGTTTTCTGTCCCTGCATTAGTTTCCTAAGGATAATGGCCCTTGTTCCATCTGTGTCACTGCAAAGGACATGATCTTGTTCTTTTTCATGACTGCATAATATTCCATGGTATATATGTACCACATTTTATTTATCCAGTCTATCATTGATGAGCATTTGGCTTGATTCTTTGTCTTTGCTATTGTGGATAGTGCTGCAATGAACATATGTGTGCATGTGTCTTTATAACAGAAGGATTTATTTTCCTCTGGGTATATACCTAGTGATGAGATTGTTGTGTTAAATGGTATGCCACACTGGTCTTTGATGAATCGCCACACTGTTTTCCACAATGGTCGAACTAATTTACAGTCCCACCAACATTGTATATGCGTTCCTTTTTCTCCACAACCTCATCGGTATCTGTTACTTTTAGACTTTAATAATAGCTATTCTGGCTGGTGTGAGATGGTCTCATTGGGGTTTTGATTTGCATTTCTCTAATAATCAGTGATATTAAGCCTTTTTTTCATATGCTTATTGGCTGCATGTATGTCTTGTATTGAAAAGTGTCTGTTCATGTATTTTGCCCACTTTTTAATGAGGTTGTTTATTTGTTTCTTGTAAATTTGTTTAAATTCCTTATAGATGCTGGATGTTAGACTTGCGTCAGACACATAGTTTGCAAAAATTTTCTTCCATTCTGTAGGTTGTCTGTTTACTCTGTTGATAGTTTCTTTTGCTATGCAGAAGCTCGTTGGTTTAATTAGATCCCATTTGTCAATTTTTGCTTTTGTTGCAATTGCTTTTGGCATCCTCATCATGAAATCTTTGCCAGTGCCTATGTCCTGAATGGTATTGCCTCTGTTGTCTTCCAGGCTTTTTCTAGTTTTAAGTTTTACATTTAAGTATTTAATCCATCTTGAGATAATTTTTGTATATGGTCTAAAGAAGGGGTCCAGTTTCAATTTTCTGCATATGGCTAGCCAGTTATCCCAGCACCATTTATTGAATAGGGAATCCTGTCAGTTTTGTCAAAGATCAGATAGTTGTAGGTGTGGAGTCTTATTTCTGGGTTCTCTAATCTGTTCTATCGGTCTATGTCTCTGTTCTTGTACTCTGGGGCACAGCTCCCAGAGGAAGGGCTGCCATTTTTGCCGTTTTGTGGTCTTCACTGGTGATATCTCCAGGTACCGGAAAATTTGAGGTGACTAGGGATTGGAGTGGACACCCAGCAAACTACAGAAGCCCTATGGAAAGGAGGCCAGACTTTTAAAAGAAAAACAAAAACAAACAAACAAACAAAAATCTCCATTCAAAGGGCAGCAACCTCAAAGATTGAAGGTAAATAAGCCCACAAAGATGAGAAAGAATCAGTGCAAGAAGGCTGAAAACTCAAAAAGTCAGAGTACCATCTTCCCTTAAAATGACTATATCACCTCTCCAGCAAGTGATCAGAACTGAGCAGAGTCTGAGATGGCTGAAATGACAGAAGTAGACTTCAGAATGTGGATAAAATTGATCTTCACTAAGCTAAAGGAGCACATTCTAATGCAATGCAAGGAAGCTAAAAATTATGGTAAAACATTGTAGGAGCTGACAGACAAAATAGCTAGCATAGAGAATAACATAAGTGACCTGATAGAGCTGAAAAACACAATACAAGAATCTAAAAATGCAATCACAAGTATTAATAGCAGAATAAACCAAGTGGAGGAAAGAATATGTCTATTTTTATATGGTATTTGCTTTTAATTTCCTATTATGAAAGATAAATCAGCATTAAGGCATTTTTTATTATACAATATGATCAATCAACAACTTATTGAAAACATATATTATGCTAATGTCACTACCATATGTCCAGAGTTGTGCTTAGTGATATAAAATTTACAAACAAGTGGTAAGATATTATTTCCATTCTCAAAGAGTGTAATCAGGGACATAGACATGAGCTATCGAAAGATGGCTACAAGGAAATGATATTAGTGAAGGGTTCCCTAGGAAGTTAGAGAGAGGAGCCATTCCTATAGCCATTCCTAAGTAGCAGTAAGCGAAAACTTAATGGAGATAATATATTTAAGCTAGAAATTCAGGAATATACAGTTGACTCTTGAACAATGTGGTAGTTAGGTTCATTAACCCCCATGCAGTTGAAAATCCAGATGTAACTTTTGACTTATCCAAAACTTAACTACTAATAGCCTCCTGTTAACTATAAGCCTTCCTGGTAATATAAACTGGATGCACAACTATTTGGTATGTTATATGTATTATATGCTGTATTCCTACAACAAAGTGAACTAGAGAACAGAAAATATTATTTAAAATATCATAAGATAAAATATATTTACTATGATGATACTTATGTATCATCATAAAGGTCTTCATCTACGTCTTCATGTTGAGTAGGCTGAGGAGGAGGAGGAAAAGGACGGGTTGCTCTTGCTCTCTCAGGAGTGGCAGAAGTCGAAGAGGCGGAATAAATGCAAATGGGTCAGAAGCATAACTTTACAGAATGCATGGTAATTTCTGTCTAACTTTTTTGCTTTTTCATGTCTCCAAAAATGTTTCTAGATAGTACCAATCCTTCTTCCAGCATTTACTTTACTGAAGCAATGCTTCATGTAAGGGTCCCTGTTGTAAAATAAGTTAAAGCAGTCTTGAGTAACTGGAACCCCTCTGTCAGATTCTCTAATGCCAATGTGTTTCTGGTACTACTTCTTCCAAATCTGCTACCTCTTTGTCTGGTACTCATTCAGAAGTACTCATCTTCATTAAATTATCTTCTATTAATTCCTCTGGCATGGTGTGTATTAGTGCTTTAATTTCTCCAAGACCTGAATGTTGAAATCCTTCACCTCCCACCTTTTTTGCCATATCTACTGTCTATTTCATGATTTTTTTGATTGACGCTGTCATACATCCTGTGAAGTCATGCACAACATCTAAATACAGTTTCCTCCAACAGAAACATTCTGATTCAAGCTTGATGGCTTTCATGGCTTTTTCCTCTAACAAAGATGACATCTTCAATAATACAATTCTTCCAGACTTTCATGATATTCTCTCTGTCAAAAGTCTCTTCTATAGCAGACAATCCTTTCCATAAAGAACCATGTTTAACGACCCTTAAAAGTTCTTATGGCCTACTGATCTAGAGACTGAATTAGAGACATTTTGTTTGGGGGCAAGTAGACCACTTCAACACCTTAGGTGTAGAACTCAAGAGAGTTGTGGGTGGCCAATGGCATTATTCAATTATTAAGAGAATGTTAAAAGTCAACCGTTTACTGGCAAGGTACTTCCTCACTGCAGGGACAAAGCATTGATGGAGCCACTCCATAAAAATGTTTCTGAAATGGCTTGGCTCTGTATCCCCAGCCAAATCTCATCTCAAATTGTAATCCCCATAATCCTCATGTGTTGAGGGATGGACTGGGATGGAGGTGATTGGATCATGGGGGCGATTTCCCCCATGCTATTCTCATGATAGTAAGTTCTCATGGGATCTGATGGTTTTATAAGTGTCTGGCAGTTCTTTTTTCACACTTGCTCCCTCTTGTCTGCTGCCACGTAAAATGTTCCTGCTTCCCTTTCTGCCATGATTGTAAGTTTCCTGAGGTCTCCCCAGCCATGCGAACTATGAGTCAATTAAGCCTCTTTTCTTTATAAAATTACCCAGTCTTCGGTATTTATTTTAGCAGTATGAAACAGACTAATACAGGTTCTCATTGTCCAGGTCTTCTTGTATAATCAAAAGATTTGAAGCTGGTGTTTATGCTTTCCCTTCAGTCCTTGGGGGTTAGTATATTTCTAGATAAAGTCAGTCCTGGTCATAAACCCAATTGCATTTGCACAGAACAGTAGAGTTAACTTGTCCCTTCCTGCTTTAAATTCTGGGGCTCAATTCTCTTTCTTACTAATGAATGTCCTTTGTAGTATTATTTTTTTCCAAAATGGGTCACTTTCCTTTGCATTAAAAACCTGTTCAGGCAGAAATCCTTTCTTCTCAATGATTTTCTTAATGGTGTCTGAGAACTTTTCTGCTGCCTTCTCTTGGTTGGCTGAACCTTCTTCTCCTATTGTTGTGACATTTTAAAAAAAGCCAAATCTCTTTCTAAAATTATCAAGCCATCCGTTTCTGGTATTAAATTCTCCAGCTTTACATCCTTCACCTTTCTTTTTCTTTAAGTTGTCATATAATGACTTCATTTTTTCTTCAATTATGATAAAGTCTATAGGAACAACTTTGTTATAGCAATCCTGCACCCACATAAAAGCTACATTATCAAAATGAGATAAAAAAGTATTTTGCAATAAGTA
The DNA here is from genome assembly GCF_000001405.40 of Homo sapiens. Classification (NCBI taxonomy): domain Eukaryota; kingdom Metazoa; phylum Chordata; class Mammalia; order Primates; family Hominidae; genus Homo; species Homo sapiens. The sequence goes on along the minus strand of NC_000006.12, from coordinate 123,310,446 downwards.
CAAGGTTTTCACTCCTGCTGGTATAGCTGCAATGAAAATTTCACAAATTTCCTTTTCTTTTTGAATAATTATCCTTATGCTGGATTTATATATCTTGAAATGGTGGGCAACCACAGCTGCAGACCTCAATCTATAGTACCTATCAAGCAATTCAAATTTTTCCATTAATGTTATGACTTTTTTATGCTTCTTTGGAGCATTCTCAGCATCACTAGTGGCACTTCATATTGGTCCCATCATTTTAGTCAAGGTTTATGATATTGCACTAAAAATGATAAATAAGAACTACAAAAAAATCACCTTTTACTGAAATATGCGATTTACTGGACAGATGAACTGCTTATGCAGAGATTAATGTCACACAGCATTTTAAGCAGCTACCCACAAAACTTCAGTTCATCACAATAGTAGCAAGAGAGGCTACAAAATCACTACAGTAGTACCATATGTACTATAGTTAATTTCATTCAGTTATCCTTTAATATTGCATCTTTACATTTGTTTACCTTTCTCTTGACTGTGCATGGCACCTTGTATGATCTGGAAGTGTTTATAGTGGAAGTTTAGACAAATTTTATCTTTTTATAATCGATTTATATATTTGTATATTTTATGGTAACAAATGACAAAACAGACTAGTACCTACATATATTTTATGCAGTTATGATATACCTCTTTATTTTTTTATATTTTTACACAACACAGTTCATGTGTGTTTTTTCAAATTGTTGCAAACCTCCCCAAAATTTTCAATGTATTTATTGAAAAAAAACTATGTATAGGTGAACCTGACCAGTTCAAACCTGTGTTGTTCAAGAGTCAACTGTGTAAGAGCAGCTGAGACAAGGAAATTACTATAAAGTATGATGGAACCAGTGTTGGCTTTATACTAGCGATACATGAATTTTACTCCCTTTGCCCCTTGTTCAGGGGTGTAACTTTACTTAAATTACTTAATGTTTCTGAACATTAATTTTCTTATCTATTGGGTGAAGCTCATCATACTCACCTAGCATATTTGTTACATGAAACAGAAATGATGCTTTCTACTTGGCCCAGTTTCAGTATGGTAGCTATATTTAGGAGCTAGCCTAGAGACAGGAATGAGCACAACAGTGGTGGGAGAGGTGAGGAGAGGACTAAGGACATTCCAGGAGTCACATGGCTAGCAGAAGATGGCAAAGTTGCAGTAGTAGGATACAGCCATAAGAAGATGGCTGTTTAAATCCAGGAATGGGGGCTTAGAAGACTAAAGTGAAATTTGGATTCTTGAGGCCATAATCGAGAAGAAGGTGGAATTGTTAGTCATAATGGCATGTAGAGTGAAATTCTATAGAAATAAATTAGAATCAGGAGTTTGAACCAAAATCTTTTATAACAATCTAGGTATTATAAAATAAAAGTAGGAGCAACATAAAGGTTGCATAAAGAGAAAGTAATGACCTTGGAATATTTACATTAAATTAATTAACATTGATTACTTTCAAAATTATTTAGAGCCATGACTAATGTTCAGTAAATGATTTTTTAAGTTTTAAAAAATCACTCAGCTTTGAAACCTATTGAAAACTACTAATGACATTTTGTTACATATTCCTTCAGGCCTGTGAGTACTTGTGCTTTAAACAGACTATCATTCTCTCTGTACTGTGTTATAATGGCTTTTGTAATCATCAAACTGTTTCATATGAAAATAATAGGTGTTGATGACATTAGTTCTGTATAACTACAAGGTCTGAAGCATGGGAAGATGAAGGTGATTAACTAGAAGTTGCAAAGGGAATTCAAGTGGGGTGAGTGCTTGTGGAGACTCTACATAGAGATTTTCTATAGACACTTGTAATTTGGGAACATTCACTTTGAATCCTCAGGCTGGGTTTTGTATTTATGAGGCGAGAGGTCCAGAGTAGAAGACAAAGGAAAGAGAGTTCTTCAAACCTGAGAAAAAGGAATACTTATATATTGTTGATGGGAATGTAAATTAGCTCAGACACTGTGGAAACTAGTTTAGAAATTTCTGAAAGAACTTGAAACAGAACTACCATTCAATCCAGCAATCCAATTACTGGGTATTTATGCAAAAGCTTTCTACCAAAAAAAAAAAAAAACACACACGTGCACTCATATGTTCATCACAGCACTACTCACAATAACAAAGACATGGAATCAAGCTAGGTGCCCATCCATGGTGGATTGGATAAAGAAAATATGGTACAACTACATGATGGAATACTATGCAGCCATAAAAAGAATAAAATCATGTCCTTTGAAGCAAAATTGATGCAGCTGGAAGTCGTTATCCTAAGTGAATCAGTGCAGGAACAGAAAAGCAAATACTGCAAGTTCTCAGTTATAACTGGGAGCTAAACATTAGATACTCATGGACATAAAGATGGCAAAAATAGACACTTAGGACTACTAGAGATGGGAGAAAGAGAGGGGACAAAGGGTTGAGAAACTAACTATTGGGTGATATGCTCACTACCTTGCTGATGGGATCATTTGTACCCCAAACCACAGTATCACACGATATACCCAGGTAACAACCCTGCACATGTACCTTTTAAATCTAAAATAAAAGTTGAAATTATTTTTTAAAAATGAGCATAAGAAAAAAGAAAAGAACCGAGAACAACTTCTTGGAAAAGCAAAATAACTAGTGAAGAGAAAAAAAGTGTTACCAGAAAGATCAGGGACTACAGTGTGCCAGCCTCCCAAAGTGGAAACACTTTCAGGAAAAAGTGGGAATGTCAGGAGTCAGTATCAATGTCTCAGAAAGGTCATGGGGGTAAGATGAGTGAGACAAAGCCAATACATATTACCAAAAACCCTGTCATCCTGTGAATGTTTGGAGAGCATTTTCAGTAGAGTGGTGGAAACAGAAATTAGTTTATAGGAATTAAAAAAATGCATCAATCATAAGTGAAGAAAATGCACAAACTACTTTTGTGAGGAGTTTGTTGTCAAAGGGAGGCCAAAAATGATATTCTTGTATGTAGAATCAAAGACATATTTTTACTGTCTTCATGTTTATGATAGGGTGAAGTATTCCATGAAGAGGAGGAGCAAGGAACCAGCACAGAGAGATATTAATTAAGAAAGAACTGTCCCAGATATAAGAAGTGTTGGAATACATACTCTAGATGGAGGAAATTTTTTTAATTAAGAGGAAGAAAAAATTTCCCCAGAGTTTTGTGGGAATAATGAAAAGATAAATTAAATTAAACCTGAGTATTTATGAAGAAGTACTGCTTGGTAATCTTTTCTTCTAAATCCTCTCCTATAAAGGTGACCAATAACATTTATTGCCAAATCCGGAGGATGGTTTTCTTGCTTATTATGACCCCTCAGCAATATTAGACAATGTTTTCCACCTCTTATTTCTCAGAAAAAGAAAAAATCCTCTCTTTAGCAAAGCTAAATCATTTAACCAGCAACGGTTAAAAATAAAACAACAAAAAATGACTATGCTTTTAAATACTGGAGCAACAGTATAACAATTATTTATTTTTAGCATAGCATATTGTTGGACACTAAATTTCTTTTTTTTTCTTTACCCCTTTATAAAAATGGTGGCAAACATGACATGCATTTGAAGTAAAAATAAAGATATAAAGACAATTTTCTAAATTTCATGTTTTATTTGGGAAGAAAGAATAGCAATTCATGACATACCTGCAGACTGGGTGGTCTTTGATTATGTCTAAAGAACAAAGACAAGATTAGAGGATTTATTAAGAAAGGATAGATTTTATGTATTGTTTTTCGAGAAAGTTTAGCCAGCTCCCATTGGTGAGTGACAGAGGTGGACAAAATTAGTCCTAGAGTTGCAGCAAGTTATCTCGGAAGCTATAGATAAAACTGGTTTCAGGTTACAACAAGCAATTCCAGCAGTCAAGTATGTGCAGAGAATTACATTCTTGGAGCCCTGTTTTGTGCCCTGAGTGTTTTCTCCCCCTGGCTTTTCTAGACTTTGTTTTAGTTGAGTATGACAAGAATGACCCAATTTAGATTATCAGCTTTCACATTTCCCCCCTTTTGATCAACATCCTTATCTGAAAGCATCACTAATCAATCATTTTACAGTTAGGCTTAATTATCCCTTCATGCCAAGATGAACCTGTCCTAGTTGTCTCTGTCCCATGTCTGGGGAAATGTTTGGGGTCATCAGAGACTTAGGCCACATTTAAGTAACAAATGGGCCAGAAAGAAAAATGTTCTCAGGGCAGATTTGGCTGGATCCCAGCATCAAATTCCATTTTATCTGTCCCTGGGCAGACATCAGCAATCATCTTGAGGTATTGAACTAATATTATCCTGTTGGAAGAGTTGGCTTTACAAAGATTAGACAGGCAATAGAAACAAAGCTTAAAAATTATCATACAAAAAACCGTCAGTAAACATATAATAAATCCAGTTTGAATAACTAGTTTGAAAGCTTAAACCTAATTCTGAAGGTAACCAACAAAACATATCTAAAAGTCTAGACATATTCTGCTGAGACTTGTTATAGCCACTGAGTAGTAGTTTATGACTGGGTTGAATTAAAGCAGAGAATACCAGCTTTACCAAAAGGATTACCAGTACAATTTGAACAAAAAGTTGTGATAGGGATATTGTCAGAGCTGCTCACAGTACAGATAAAAGGGATTTCTTAGGTCAAGATATGTCAAGTTACCAACAGAAGCTACTGACTGAAATTTTAATTATGCCATTATCCAGTCAATGAAAAAGGCAGCCTTGAGGGGTGTAAGAGTCTCATAATAATAAGGAATCTTGTTCCAACATCTCAAGGAAAGTTGTTTCATGTGGAAAACAGAAACTTTTTGTCCTAGTTTGTAGTTTGAATGTCTTTGGTCGTGGCATCAGGCGGTTTTGTGAACTTTCTGTGTTTCATATACCAGACATGAGAATTGTTCTTTAGAACTTGCCTAGCATTACCTTATAGGGCTTTAAGGACAGAGCAGTTCTCATTTTACCACTTTTATGGAAGAAAGTTGAATTGGAGGAACCTAAAACAATTTAAGACCTAGTCTAGCCTATAGATAGATAACAATAACTAAAAATGATATATAGAGTTACAATCTAATAACAGGTGTATTATAGCTTTTCTTTGTAAACATGTTTTTAATTGATCATATAGAAACCCTAGATTTAAAAAACTCTTGAAGCTAGGAAGCCAAACCAAGGCAGACTTTAGAATTTGCTTACTGTCTTAAGGTTCCTGGGCCTTCCAGGAAATGACAGTTTTTATTTACTTATTGTAAGAATGGGAACTCTTGAAGTCAGAAATTTTGGACATATTGTAAAATGTGACATTTTAATTGAAGCCTTGGCACCTTGGTAGTATAAGCAATGTTTTCAATTGTATTTTGCTGTAAAGAGAGAGCAGATTTTATTGGACTTTTGTAAATAACCATATTGCCATAAAAATATTTGCAAATAGTTTTTAAATTTTTGGAGAAATTAAATAAGAAGAAAAATGTTTTTATCTTTGTTTACACAACTATATTTTACCAAATTGCTTAAGAAAGACTTTTTTTGAAATCTGGAAAACAAAGCATTTAAGTAAAGGATCAATAATATTTTAAATAACAGTCATAAAAACATTATCTTTATCAGTTATTTAATGTTATATAATCAGCTTATTTTCAGCTTGATCTCTATTAGCAGTTTCATGGATCCATCAGTTTCTTTATGTACAATTTTATTTGGTCCATTGATTTAAAATTATCAGAAACCTGTGTTTAATGCTGTGCACCGAAAACACAGTTTTTTGTCAGACAATCTTCAAATAAACTAAATAAGTTAACACAAGAGAAAAAACATGTTTATAAAAAAAACTTGCATAAGTAATATGCAATCACTTATCTTACTTTTATATTAAGAAAATTAAGCCGGGCGCAGTGTCTCACGCCTTTAATCCCAGCACTTTGGGAGGCCGAGGCTGGCGGATCATGAGGTCAGGAGATCCAGACCATCCTGGCCAACATGGTGAAACTGCATCTGTACTAAAATACAAAAAAATTAGCCGGGCATGATGGAGCATGCCTGTAGTCCCAGCTACTTGGGAGGCTGAGGCAGGGGAATCCCTTGAACCAAGGAGGCGGAGGTTGCAGTGAGCTGAGATGGCGCCACTGCACTCCAGTCTGGCAACAGAGCAAGACTCCGTCTCAAAAAAAAAAAAAAAAAAAGAAAATAAAAGAAAATTAATATTCATATACAAAATTTTCACAGTTCTGTAACTGCATTTCTAACTGCTAATCAACTTCTTCTTTATATGGTTATTCTGTCTGCAAAACATTTTCCTTAAAATTGAACTCAACATCTCTTCCATTGTCCTTTTTTCTTTTGCTCTTATCTCATGGAAGTCATGACTTGCCATTCAGTTACATTGGCTTAAACTTCTGAGTCATTTACAACTCTTCTTTCTGTTTCAGAACCCAGCATCCAAGTAGGCACGAAGTTATGTGTCTCCCAAATTTATTCTCTCCATTTTTTTAATTCTTCTGGGTAAAACCTGTTTTTTTCTGATTCTTATTATCTCTTCCCTGAATAAATATACAAAATCATTAACTTATTATCTTGTTTACATTTTCTCTTTAAAGATCTACCACAAGCCTATGCTACTTATCTTTACAAAATGGACATCTGTAGGGAACAGTGCTAGGTTACTGTCATTCATTGTCATACTGCCCTCAACATATTTATTTCCATAGTTTCTACTTGTTTAATCCACCACAACCATCACCAGAAGCCCACACAGACATTTAAAAACCATTACCAGTTCTGTGAATTTTTCTCTTCTCAATGTCTTTTGAATCTTCCCCTTTCACTCAGTCCCTCACTGAAAACATCCTATTTATTCATCTAACCTCGAATTTCATCAACAAACTATCCCACCTGCCCATGACTTTCTAGCGGTAAACATGTCTTTATCCTTGGTCTGTTTGCACATGTTTTCTTCTAATGTATCATGTGGTATTCATGTCGTTTGTTGCATAGATTTATTCTAACCTTGTGTCTTAGCTCCTATATTATCTGTTCTGTGAGTTATGTCTTTAATATCTAAGGCAGAAAAAAATATTTCAAAAGCCACTATAGCCACAGTAGGTCCAACAACATTATCTTTATGGAAAGGAAATCATTGGTTAATAATTTTTTTAAAATCTGTTTTTGACATGTTTCTTGACTTTATGATATATACCACATGCACAGGCAGTTTTCTGTGTGTAAAAGGCCAATGAAGACAGAAAGATGTAGAGGAAGGAGCTCTGGGACAATTGATATGGAGTGGTTTACATCATCATTTAACTTCTAAGTGATTTGACATCATGATTTAACTTCTAAGTCTCAGCTTCTTTAAAATGGAATTACTGACAGTATATTCCATGCCAGTCTATCAAATTTATTGTAAAAATTTAGCAATGTAATGCATATCTAAATGTGACATAATGAAAATGCCTAAAAAACTATAAACATATAAAATATATCAATAAAGTAAGTGAAAAATATAAAAGGTTATAATCTATACAGTTACTATTTAAAGTGTGGTCCAAAGAACAACATCAGCATCACCTAGCTGCTTGTTAGAAATATAGAATCTTAGGGCCCATCAAGAACTGATGAATAAGAACTTGCATTTTAACAAGAGTCCTAAGTCATTTATATGCACATTAAAATTTGAGATGCCTTGTTCAAAAATTTATAGACATTCAGTACTGCCCTTATCTCCAGAAAGAAAAACATCAAGCTTCTCTCTTGCCACAAACTTGGCTAATTCAAAATGGATGTGTTTGGTCCTATTTTTTTGACTTTTCAGTGTTTTATTCACTTATTCCATTATCCCTATCTGTTGAATGACTATGCACCAAGTTACTGTATCAATGCTTGCTAACTAACGGTGAGGTCTTCGCCATTCCTGAGCACTGGTTGGCATCATCCACCCACTCACTTGATGGGTGATTTCTGGACTTTGGTCATCCTAAAAATGACTAAAGAAGACAACTGTCCCTTTATTCTGACACTGAATATGCAAAGGATCAATGGCTTACCTGTGTGTTTATTTGAGCTTAAAAGAAATAAATAAACCCATATTTAGCTAGAAGAACATGTATATCAAGGGTAAACTGCCTTTATATTTTACCAGTTGGCTAAAAATTTTACATAATGGGTGAATGACTTACTCAAAGAAAAACAGTATGCATCGATACTCATCAGTCACCAGAGTCTCTTTGGCTCATATCACTTAAGAAACTTCTAATTGATTACTCTATTTAGTTTATATCTGTCATCAGTAGAATAAATATAATATCTATTTAAAAGTTCCCATAGTGATCCTGCAAGAGAAACATATATATATAAAATATAATATGTAGAATTATACATATACATATTATATGTAAAATTGAATTTTTTATCATGCATTAGGCCTTGCTAGCCTTTGAGGATGTATAGGTGAATAACCTAAACACTCAAGAAATGTATCAATGCAAAGATCATTAAACGGTTAATATCTGTGATGACTGATAAGAAATATTACATAAATATACACGCAGACCGCCATATGAATTTTTCATTTATGAGTTGGCAGTTGAATCAGTATTTCTATCACTGACAAAATGGTTTATTGAATAACCACCAGATATTTTCATTTATGTATATATATATATATATGTATATATATATATATATGTATATATATACATACATACATACATATATGTACTGGGAGGTTGGTTTATTACAAGAAAACGTACAATAAATTGAGAAAGTTCTAATGGTTTTAACCATGTTAGTTCAAGGACATTTATTGAGTACTTACTAAGCCAGATCCTGGAAAATTTAAAAATAACTAATATTGGTGGAGCAATCAATCAATTAATTAAGAGGATTCATTCACATACATGTATAAATTGATTTCATAATGTAAAATCATAAACTGACATTAAGTTTCATTATTTTGCCCAAGCTACAGGCAGGGAAGTGGACTCACAAAGATCAATTGGATGTTCAGGTTACAAAGTTGATAGATGACCTGGCTTCTTTCAACTTATCAATGACCTTACTCACATGGCCAACTTGATTTCAAGGACGTGAAAGAAAGATTTACAGTGTCACAGATAGTTATCTTTTACTTCAATTTAACCTTTAAAGCAGTGTATATTCCTCTTGTCAACATATCCTCCATATTATTTTGCTACAAAACATAGAACTTGAAAAATACCACTACAATTCTATTCTCAATATAAACAGAGATGAATGGGGTAGGAGGAAAGGTGGAAAATTTGAAATTGTGCGCTATTTTGAATTGGAAACCTAAAGTAAAGCTAAGATAATAAATGTAGATGCTGTCAGGACAATAGACTCCATATTCCTTAGAGTAGAAATTTTTGTAGGTTCATTTCATGTGTTTCTTGTGCTAGGAACAGTTCCTGGCACACAATAAGAGCCCAGTTAATGTATTTGAATGATCAAGTGCAATAAGATATGTAAGTTATGTAGTAAAATGGACCTGGAAGCCTGTTTCTTAATTCGTTAAAAGGGGAAACTGACTTCATGGACATAATGGTAAGATATTTCTTTTAAAATGCTTGGAATGGTTCTGGACACAAACTAAATATCTAATATTTTAGTTATATATTATACTAGTAAGTACATGAGACAGCAACTTTCCAGAATTAAATGTTGCTACATCTTTCAAAATCTGAATAGAACACTATTATTGGCCATTTAGCTTACAAAACTAAAATTAATTTTTATTTCATGTGACTTGAGTGCTATAGTCTTGAATCTTCTTCTGATTGAATTTATCTTCAGGAGCTTAGAAGAACTATTTCTTAGCCAATTTAGTCAATCAAGTATAGTGTCATTAATAGCTTCCGAACCAGTCTATGACAGGTACAATTTTTCTCAGCTGATTTAAAATCTCAGAGAAATTCATTCTCTGTGGATCCTCAGGAAATATACACATCCTTTCTTCCAAGAGAAAAAAGACAGAATGATGATAACTTCATTAAAATTACTAAAGATTACTTATGCATATACTGTAAACAGTGTTGACCACTATTCAGATAGTTAATCTTGTTAATCTTCAATTGGCTGTATTTGAGACTCCTCCAAAAGCCATAATTTGAACTTTTTGAGCTTTCTTCAGACTGATTTTCTTGCTTATGTACTTTATGGGAATTTAAAAATAATGCTCTTTTCTTTCCTTTTAAAAAATAAATTACTGAAAATCTTCCTTCCCAATTTCAACCCAAACTAAACTTTAACTCAGGAAGGTGGTAGTAATGAAATTTAAACTGCATCTTTCAGAGTGGTACAAGCCATTCACTAGATAAGTCCTTATTACTTACCACATAGGAAGCAGATGCTGTGGTTCTTCTAAATTAAAAGAAAAACTTGGAAGCTTCTTAAACACTTGACTGTTAAGAAGTCAACTGTATTAGAAAGGATTCTGTTTCTAAGCTAATTTGTAAGTTACTCTGACAGAATGTTCAGAAATTTAAAAGAAACAAGTTTTCTCCATGTGAACATATTGCTTAGTTTATATCTTCTTTGCTATTCTAAAATATATTAGTTTTTCATTATTTGAACCTATTCTCAATCTCCTTTTTTCATTCTCTCATCCAACTATGCTTATATACTATTTTTAATGCTCAATGTATTAACTAGTTTTTAAAACAATGCTCTTAGCTCATTTTTTTTCTACTTTCCCATTTAGTGGATTAATATAATAGAATTTATGTATGAATAATTTTCTCAAGTCTATCATGAAGTACTTCACATTGGTGAGATACTTAAAAGAGGCTTGATACTTAATAATTAAATTATATTCCAGAGGAAGGTGTTTCAGAAGCCTCTTGTGGGCACCTGTATGACGTCTTCCCTTTTCTTTTACTTGCTGCTCAAATTTGACACTCAATAACCCAAAACATCTTAAGAAAGAAAAACAGGACTATTTATTTGAGTGTAGTGGGCAAGTAAAGACATAATAACTACCCATCTCTTCTATTCTCATTTCCTTGGTTTCAGAACAAAATATTCTCAAGCCCAGGTGCTGATATGGATGTGACAAATAGCAAACCTGAGACAAATAATGGTTCCTTTAAGGGCCATGCTTGACTACTTTAGCCATGTCCATCAAGATTCAGACATTTTACTGTGCTCTCCTTCTCACAAACCCTTCACCCCCTTCCCATGCCCTAACCAATATCCTGACATTCCAAACAAGAACAGGATCTCCCAGGTCTTATATCATAGTAGGGGCCCATTTCTTATTGTCTCATTTTTTTCCCTAAGACCCACCTAAAGGATCAGGGTATGATGGGGAGGTGATTAGGATGACAGAGTTTAATAAATCTTAACAATTAAAGCATGCTGTGCCAGAGGGTACTAATCAATAGAAAATTATCTCCAATGCATTTTCTATTCCAGACCAAAACTATCCAATAGTCACACCTAAACATGGCATAATTTTCTCCGTTTGTTAGGTGAAGTAATTATAACCAACATTAATGATAAATCTCATATATAAACTTATACATGTTTTGTTTTCACATATCCCAAAGCTAGATGACCATGATATAATTTTGAAAAATCTCCTATGTGGAGAGAAAAAGTGGTATTTCCTTTAATGGCATGTTTCAGTAAAGGGCTGCAGAGTAATTCTCTTTTTTGCAACTCCCTCCCCAATATTTTAGCAGTATTTTGATGAATTGTTAGCAGAAGTGTATTTGGAGTGTAAATTTCTCAATAAATAAATTCCCCATTTTATATGGTGTTGTCACTTGTTTATTAAAGACAATTATGGTTTATCATGTGTGACAATGCACAAGTGCTAAGAATACAAAGATGATAGCTGCAGTCCCTTGCCTAGTGAATTTCTTACTCTATCTGGGGAGACAAATGAGTAAATGATTACAGATCATTGCAATTAGAATGTAAAGGGATGGCGACTTACATAAGATGTTGAGAGTACAAATTATCTCTAACCCTTGGTGGAAGGAGGTCAGGAAAGGCTTCCAGAGAAAGATGAAGAGTGAGCTGAGTCTTAGTAAATGGGCATGGTATGTTGAAATGTAGCAAAAAAGAGAAAGGACATCTAAAAGGAAAAATGATATATTTGAGGCTACAATGAAGGCAGAAATGGAGGAAGAAATAAACAAGTGGGGTCATACTCGAGATATCTTTACAAAATAGAATCAACAGGACTCTATGGACAATAGAGATGGCTAGTTTCATTATTAGAACCTAGTCCCAATCCCCGGTTTTTCTTTCTTTTAACTAACCATGCTTATGTACTATTTGTAATGCTCAATATATTATCTGGTTTTTAAAACAATGCTCTTAGCTCAAATTTGTTTTTTTGTTTTTTAATTTCATGGATTAATGTAATGTTTATGTATAAAAATATTTTTCAAGCCTATGATGAAGTTATTCACACTTGTGAGTATGGAGAGGAATCTTAGAAGACTTCTAACCTTCTGGTTGGAAGAGTAGGTGAAGTATGGTATCATTTACTAATATAGGAAATGTGTGGATGATGAAATAGTATATCATGAATTCAATTTTGGATTTAAGTTTGAATTTCCTGAGGTATATCCACTTTGTTTCAGAAGGTTAGATATGTGACTCAGTAGTGGAAAAGGTCCATTTATCCCTTGATATTCTATTCTTCTCCATATTTTCAAGAGAAATTTGTGATGTCTGGAATGGATGCGCCCTTTGCATGGCCTTTGAAGGAAGTATACCTAGCACTACATTTCAACCAAATCTTATTTCTGTGGCTATGATCAGAATTAAACTCATCCATAAGAATTCAGTTTCAATTGATAGGTAAGCCTGATTGGCCAAAAATTCTTGGGAGACTGAAGTGCTTAGCACATACTAAATGTTTACTGAATGAATGATTGGATAATTAAATAATCATTGTATAATGTCAGTATTATACAAAGATCCACATAAAAAAAAACTTCGAAGTAGTGTTTCTGATTAATCATATCTACTTCTCTATTGGTTCTCTATTAACTTCCTCTAATCTTTCATGCTCGATCATGGTGCAAACAAAAATTTGCTACTAAACAGTCTCTTCAACATCACTTTAATCACCTTTGAACATCAAGAGGCAGAACACAAAGGGTTTCTCACTACTCATTTGAGGCAAAATATCAGATAACTGTCTGAGATGAAAAGTGAGAACAGAATGGTCAACAGTAAGATGCTTGAATAACAACTAAAAATATTTCATAGAAATTATTGTAGTGCAGCCTCAAAAAAAACTTTAAAAATAATGGGTGCCTCGAAAACTTAGCATAATATATAGCCAATGCATACCAACTAGGATGAAAAAGGCATATCAACCACAGACCCTGTTACAGATAATCTTGTTTAAAGGACTTTCCAAACACTCTCTTATCTTGCCCATTATTGCTGCTTTTAAAAATAAAAAACACCATAAATAATATTTCTACTTCTTATCTATCAGGTCACTTTTCTATCTATCCTGACATGAAGCAAAATTTTTTCCAGAAATTTGTTCTAATTGTCAGAGACAATTCTTGTTTACCAAATGGCCTTTAAAAGACTAAAGGGAAATTTTCAAAGCATTTACCATTTCTTTCCCTGATGTTCAGCATTGTGTAAATAATATTAACACACATCATTATCTATGAAATCCCTAAGAACATATTTCCAAAATTATATACATAAAACTATATTATTTTATTCAAGTAACTTTTTACAGCACATTTGATAAATGAGACTGCCTTATATGAGAATACCTCTATAAGTAAGGAAGAAAAAAGAACGTTTGTGAACTCTAATTCATACACAGCTCAGAAGGCATTTTCTCTTAGAGTCTTATATTATATTTTATATATTTAACATTTATATTTCCATTTTAATCTTGATAATTAAAAGTTTCATGAATCTCAGAAAACATGTCTCCGAATCATAATGGCTTCAAGTAAAATGTAGTAACATTTCTAAACTGATTGAAGCATCCCATTAAAGTCCTTATGATATTTTCTTGCATCCCCCTAATGGTCTTCTTATTGAATATATGTGGTAGAAAGTTTAGATATTAATCTTCAAGTCAATTTAAATGGTAAAATGCCTGTCGGATGGTTCTTTCTGGCTAAGATGTATATCTACAGCAAAGTCAACCTCTGCTCTGTTCTAAGTAGTGGTAGGCATAGATATATCTGCATCAGAATCACTGGTCTTAAAAACAAGATTTGTTAATACGCCCTTAAAGTTAAACATGCTCTGATAGATTAAAGCAGAAAATCTATCACGAGTTGAGTAAATAGATGTCTTAAAGAGCAGTAAACCCAGGAGAAAATAATGCTGCAACATTTCAGGTTGATTTTTATCTGAACTGCATTTCCCCATTAAGCAATTTACTCTTGAGATTTAAATTAATAAAATTTTAAAAGTTTTAATTTGCCATTCATTCATCTTTTTTTTTTTTCTGTTTGAGACACAGTCTTACTCCATCACCCAGGCTGGAATGCAGTGGCGCCATCTCATTTCACTGTAACCTCCACCTCCTGGGTTCAAGCGATTCTCGTGTTTCAGTCTCCTGAGTAGCTGGGATTATAGGCATATGCCACTACACTTGGCTAACTTTTTGTATTTTTAGTATAGATGGGGTTTCGCTGTGTTGGCCAGGTCGGTCTCAAACTCCTGGTCTCGAGTGATCCACCTGCCTCGGTCTTCCAAAGTGCTGGGATTACAGGCATGAGCTACCACGTTAATTGATAAATAATAATTGTGTATATATATGAGGTACAATGTGATGTTCTGATTTATGGATGCATTGTAGAAAGAGTCAATCAACTTAATTAAGATACCTATCACCTCACCAATTTTTCATTGTTTTGTAATAAGAATATAAAAAATATTTTCTTTTGGCAATTTTAAAATATATAATACATTATAGATGCAGGGCAGGTGAGCCCCAAAGTGAAGCTTAGCCTGCAAGTGTTCTTGGCTTTGCCTAGGAAAGAATTCAAGGGCAAGCCAAAGGTACATAAAAATAGCCTTATTGAAGAGGCAGCATTACAGCTCTGGGGATGTTAAGCTCTGTGACTGCTCCTGCAGAGCAGCGCTAGTCCATAGGCAAAGAGTAGCATCTCAGGACAGTTTTGTAGTCATATTTATACCCACTTTTAATTGCATGCATATTAAGGAGCAGTCTATGCAGACATTTCTAGGGGAGGAGTAGTCATCACTGAGTCACATGGAAGGGGGCAGTAACTCCTGGGTGTTGTCATGGCAAGGGTTAATTGACATGGCACACTGGTGGGCATGTCTGATTGAAAGCTGCTTTTGCCCTGGCCCTGTTTTAGCTAGTCCTCAATCTGGTCCACTGTCTGAACTCTGCCTCTGGAGTCAAGTCCTGCCTCCTTCCTCATTTCCTGCCCCCTCAAAGATTAGATACTCCTCCTTAATCTTAACGGACTGCAGAAGGGTAAGATTCATTTTCTGTAACTGCTTCTTGCTGAGTTTATGGGAGTAGGCCCTGCCTAGCACTGGAGGAGTAAAAATCTCTAGATACCTGCTGTAAGGGGCCAGAAGCAGGACACTTCCATTCTCCAGGTCAGTAGATGGAATTGCTTGGAAGCCTTGTGCCAGCACTGTTTTTACTTGGTAAAATCGTGGTAATCTAAAACAGGGGTCCCCAAAACAGGGATTCCCAACCCCCAGGCCATTGACTGTTATTAGTCTGTGGCCTGTTAGGCCTGCACAGAAGGATGTGAGCGATGGACAAGCCAGTGAGCATTATTGTCTGATCTACACTTCCTGTTAGATTAACAGCAGCATTAAATCTCATATGAGTGCAAACCCTATTGTTAACTGCGTGTGCAAGGGATCTACGTTGCATGCTCATTATGAGAATCTAATGCCTGATGATCTGAGGTGGAACAGTTTCATCCTGAAACCATCACCCCTATCCACACCCCCGACCCCAGGCTGTGGAAAAATTGTCTTCCATGAAACCAGTCCCTGGTGTCAAAAAGGTTGGGGACCACCAATGTTGAAGACACAAACTTTACTAGGAGGTTAAATAAGCAAGGGCCAATATTAGTAACAAGATAGCAACCAAGTTCCTAGGAGAGGTAAAAACCAGGTAAGACTTGGGAAGGCACTTTTGATAGTTGGCCAGATATAGCTGGGGTCAGTGCCCTGGTTATATCTATGTAACCAGGTAGCTTTCTCATAGACCTTTTGAATGTTAATCTCAACTTGTCCACGGTTGTTAATATATGTGTAGCATGTTTTATTATTAACTTTACAGAATCCACTGTGTTCAGCCGGTAAATAATCCAACACTAGTCTATTATCAAAAACTACATTTGCCAAATGGTCTAAGGACACTTGAATTCCCTTTAATGCCTGACCTGTGTTGGTAGCTAAGGTTTCTAGGGTTTGAGTCAAGCTCCTTAGGATTGACTTATGGTAGACAAAGCCTCCCCAAGGTGCTGCTAGTCCCATCACTGCCTTGATTCCTGCCGGAATCAACCCTATTGCTAGCTTACTTCTGGTATTCGTGGGTCTTATGAAATAATGGACAGTGACCCCTGGGGGACAACGCTGGCCAATGTACATTCATCTCTGTTCCAAGTTTTTGATGTACAGGGGAAAGCTACTCCTAAGACAACAGGTGACTCCCTAGGGAGTTCCTAAAGGTTACAGTGTTTGACTTCTTCCCATTCATGACCAGAAACAAAAATGAGCCCAGAGGGGGCACAAACAGAAGCCCTACAGGGTGTGATGTTTATCCTTTGCTTCCAAGTTGTGTCTATAGAGATATTTTTTCCCTGTTCCAATGGGGGTGGCAGGACAATCTTTATTTTTCAGAAGGGGGGTACTCCTACCTTTCCAGACTAGGCAGTGATTTTTCCCTTGTATGTTGTGATCTGGAAGAATGCACCATATATGGTCTCCTAACTTACAAGTGGAATCCCATTTACTTTACTGCAGCCTTGGGAACTTGCCAACTGTAGTTGAATCAAAGAATCACAGGGAAACTTCTGCTGTTGTGTCATTAACACAACAGTGGGTGCAAATGATAAACTCATTTGTGCACTGGAGATATAGATACACAATTTTTCAGGTCCAAGTAATAGTGGCAGGAGGATTCAGGTATAATCCGTTAAGTGGGGAGAGTTCTATTTACCAAGCAGGGGTTTGAATATTTCAGCATCACTATGGTTAGTTAGGTCTGGGGTAAAAACCAGGTAAGATGTGGGAAGTGAGACTTGTAGTGAGTGATTTTCCAAGTAAGCCATAAGATAGACCTCTCTAGCCTGGGAATGTTGATGAAAAATCCAGCAACTGTGAAGATGATTTCCTGATGCAATAATTGTTGAAATATTTACTATAGAGTTATGTTCCCACCCATACTGGATCATAGTAACTAGGGGAGCAAACAGGATGAACAGTGACATCGTGATTCAGCTGGGCCTTAACGTGGTCTCTATGCCCAACAAAGACAAAAGAGATGTTTCCCAAGGGATTGGCTAAAGTGATACAAAGGAAGTATTACAATCAGGAAGAAGAGAAAAACTGTAGCTCCCATTCCCACCCACAGCATCATGTTACTACTTCTGGCTGAGATGTTGATTCTTTAAATAGCAGAGGTCCCCCAAAGGTTCACAGATGTAGGTGTTGGTGTCCCCCTTTTGTAGCTGTGACTCGTAAGACATAGGTTAACCCTGGACAGATGTACTCAGCTAGGTATTCCCTGAAGTTTAACAGCAGAGGGGGTACTCAATGACACCTGATAAGGGCCCTTCCATTTTGGTTGTAGTTGATCTTCAGGGGATTCTTCTTTCCAAGTTTTAGCAAAAGTAAGTCTCCTGGCTAAACAGGGGAGCTATTTTTCCTCTCTGAAGAAGAGTAATATTTTATTTTTATAGTGGAAAGCCTTTTGAACCTGACCTAAATTCCAAAAGGGAAAAGGGAAGTTTGTATAGCTAATTACTATAAGCTAAGACCACAGCAGCTAAACTTGTCCACAGACAAGTAATTTTTATAAATACATTTCCTGGCTCCTAGTCTCTGGCTCCCACACTGCTAAAAAGGGGTTCAAGGGCCAATAAGTGTCCACCCACTTCCGCTCTGATCCAGGCCAGAACATCCAACTGGCTACAAGTCCCCTGGCTCCAAATGCCCCAGCCATGGGGGTCCCACTGAGGGACATTATGGACCCAGGGCAGGCAGCACATGACCTTGTCATCAGCATAGGACAAAATAAAACATGGCCATTGATGCTGCCTCTAGCACACCATGACAAAAAGAGGTAATACAAAACAAAAATCAAGATCCATGGGCCGAAGGGAATGGAGTTGAGCAGGTACCCACTAGCCCCAAAATTCCTTCTAAGCAACTTAAGAATCAAAAACCAAAAGCCAAAATGAGATTACCCATTGAGGAAAACCAACAGCATAGAATTAAGCTGTATTTGGAGGAAACACTGCTCCCACAGATCTCTAGGACAAAACACTTTACCATCAGACCACAACAGCAGTCATAAACAGAGGAGAAAAATTAACAGGAGCTGACAAAAAAGCTGAAGGAGAGAGTTACATGGATCTGCATAGCTTTCAAAAGAAATATATTGCAGAATTGAAAATAAAATTTTCTGGTAATTTAGCAAATTAATACCTTTAGAAAATTTGATTTTGATATTTAGGCCATTTGTAAAAAGTTTTTTTACAAATAATTTTCTTTAATCATAGCAAGTTTTTAATTTTACACAAAGTTCCCTTTATAAATTCCCCATTTATGAATCTTATCACAAATTACACAGACTATCTAAAACTTGCTTGAAATTTCTGACTTGTCCTATACTACCTCTTTCTTTTTTGTGTGACGGAGTCTCACTCTGTCGCCCAGGTTGGAGTGCAGTGGTGTGATCTCGGCTCACTGCAAGCTCTGCCTCCCGGGTTCATGCCATTCTCCTGCCTCAGCCTCCTGATTAGCTGGGACTACAGGTGCCCGCCACCACTCCAGGCTAATTTTTTGTATTTTTTAGTAGAGACAGGGTTTCACCGTGTTAGCCAGGATGGTCCCAATCACCTGACCTCCTGATCCACCTGCCTCGGCCTTCCAAAGTGCTGGGCTTACAGGCGTGATCCACCGCACCCAGCCTATACTACCTCTTTCTTAAATAACCAGTCATGTTACTCTAGGACAAAATATGACTATACAAGATCCCTCTTCATATAAAATTACTCTTTTATTATATGCTTTCTTGGAAAAGAAAATACATTTTTTTTGACAGAGTCTCACTCCACCACCCAGACAAGAGTGCAGTTGTGCAGTCTCGGCTCACTGAAACCTCTGCCTCTTGGGTTCAAATGATTATGCTGCCTCAGTCCCCCAAGTAGCTGGAATTACAGATATGTGCCACCATGTCTGGCTAATTTTTGTATTTTTAATAGAAACAGAGTTTCACCATGTTGGCCAGGCTGGTCTCCAACTCCTGACCTTAAGTGATCTGCCTGCCTCAGCCTACCAAAGTGCTGAGATTACAGTTGTGATCCACTGCACCCAGCCAGAAAGTACTTTTTCTTTCCATAACATTCTTTACATCTCTCTTTTTCACTCACTGGTTCCCTCATATTTTGAAACTCCCTTTTAATAACTTCCAAATTAGACAAAAATTATTTTTTCCAAATAAAGGATATATTTCTTTGGCACATTTTATATAAACCTAGAAAGGAAGAAATCCTGAACTGCCCAGCAGACATTGACATTCTATAGGTGAGGATTATTCTATCATTTTAAGACTTTAAACCACACAATAAGTTCATTATTTAAGCATCGATTCCGTTCTTTCACTTTTAACAGTTTTATCTAGACCACTTCTAAGAAACAAGATACCATGCAAAACATGTCACCATTTAAAGCCATTTTAACCATTTTAAAGCCAATGAACATCAGTGATTTACTTAGATAAAAATTCTGTTAAATTTTAGAAGACATAATATTCTCTTCAAACTAGTAAGCTTTGACTAGTCTTATTTAATTTATGAGTGCTCTTTTATTTATAAGCCAATTTCAAAGCATGCTAGACACAACACATATCACAATGCCTGTAGATAGAGCTAAAGAAACACACTAGATAAAATGACCTATACAAGACAACTGGATTCAAGTTATTTACAAAATTGGGACCCAGCTGCCTGACTAAATTTTGTTTGCCTCAATAGGTGTGGAAAATAGAAAGAGACAGGGAAGGGGATTCCATAGCATCAAATAAAGAAGGGAAGGAGTGAACTGCATTACTCAAGGGACTATCCCGGAGTCCCTAAGGCACCAGAGAGCTCACCCAGTAGTGGAGACACTAAAGAAAAATGTTCAGGCAGCTGTTTATCTGCCACTGTGGGAAACTTTCCACTGGGTCTTGGGTCCAAGACTCCCAGTAAACTTACCTGAGCAAGACAGCTTGCATCTTACTGGGGACAGTGAAAGAGTTAGCTCTGGAGTTGGTGGAGAACTTTTTTTCTGTCTCTCACCAGGGATAGTCAAAACATTCTTATTGTCAATGGCCCTCTTGCTCATAGCAGGCACACTGATTCTGGCTCTGGGGCCCCCAAGTTGAT
This sequence comes from Homo sapiens, assembly GCF_000001405.40. NCBI lineage: Eukaryota > Metazoa > Chordata > Mammalia > Primates > Hominidae > Homo > Homo sapiens. The sequence goes on along the minus strand of NC_000006.12, from coordinate 123,289,825 downwards.
AGCTCTTGTCTGGGCATCCTAGACACTGGCTTCACTACATTGACTCAAGATGGGTAACTCTGAGGGAAAAGAGACTACCCCATAGGCAGAGAGTAGCAGCTCAGGGCAGTTTTGCAGTCATATTTATACCCACTTTCAATTGCATGAAGATTAAGGTGAAGATTATGCAGACATTTCTATGAAAGGGGTTGTAATCACTAGGACATTGCCATGGAAAGGGGCAGTAACTCCTGAGTGTTGTCATGGCAATGGTAAATTGACATGGCACGCTAGTGGAAGTGTCTGATTGAAAGCTGCTTTCACTGAGGCCCTGTTTTAGCTAGGCCTCAATCTGGTCCAGTGTCTGAGTGCCACCTCCAGAGTTGAGTTCTGCCCCCTACCTCATTATTATTGACTGTGATCGCCATGAGAACAATAGATTACTAAAACTTATTCCTCCAGTTTAACTGAAACTTTGCACCCTTTTATCAGCATCATCGCTTTTCCCATCTCTCCCTCTATTCTCTACCCTCTGGTAACCACCTTCCTATTCTCTGTTTCTATGAGATTGACTTATTTAGATTCCACATATAATCATGCAGTATCCACTGATGTTGCAAATGACAGAATTTTCTTCTTTTTTTTAAGGCTGTATAGTATCCTATTTTGTGTGTGTACGTGTGTGTATATATTATATATAATATATATAACATATTTTATATATATACACTATACATACATACTATATATAGTGTATATATATATACACTATACATACATACTATATATATATAGTGTATATATATATACACACACACACACACACACACCCCCCACATTTTTAAATCCATATATTTGTTGATGGACACTTAGTATCTTGCCTACTGTGAATAATGCTGAAATGAACATGGGAGTTCAAATATCTCTCTGACATCCTGATTTCAATTCCTTTGGATATAACAGACGTGAAATTGCTGTAAACTAGCTGAAAATTGCTGAATATGGTAATTCTAGTTTTTTTGAGGAGCCTTCATGCTATTCTCCAAAGTGCCTGTACTAATTTATGTTTTCACCAGCAGTGTACAAGGGATTCCTTTTCTCCTCATTCTCATCAACACTTATCATTCATCTTTTTGATAATACTCATTCAGACAGGTGTGAGGTGTTATCTTATTGTAGTTTAATTTATATTTCCCACATGATTAGAAATGTCAAACATCTTTTCACATATCTGTTGGCCTTTCATATATTTTCTTTTGAGAAGTGTCTGTTCACATGCTTTGCCCATTTTAAAATAAGGTGTTTGTTTTCTGTTATTGAAATGTTTGAGTCCTCAAATCTCTTTGCTTTTAGCCCTTTATCAGAAGTATGATTTACCAATATTACCTCCCATTCCATAGGTTGTCTCTTCATTTTTATTGTTCCGTTTGCTGTGCAGAGGCTTTTTAGTTTCACTCAATCCCATTAGTTTATTTTTGATTTTGTTGCCTGTACTTTTGGAGTCCTACCTGAGAAATAACTACTCTGACCAGTGGAGTTCTTCCGGTGTTTTCTTTTAGTAGCTTTACAATTTCAGGTCTTATATTAAGTCTTCTATCAATTTTGAGTTGATTTTATGTATACACTGTGAAATAAGAGCCCAATTTCTTTCTCTGCATGTGAATATCCAGTTTTCCTGGCACTGTTTATTAAAGAGATTGTTCTTTTCCTATTGTGTGTTTTTGGAACACTTGATTTTTCCTTTTTAATTCCTTTGCTAATTCATTGAATGTGACCTTTATATTTTTATTTTAAAAATTAATCTATGCATAATAGGGTATAAATGGAAACATGCCATTGACATTTTGTTTGCTTTTAATGCAATTAAAGAAATTTGGAAAATATAGAAAATATAATAACTATAATAAAAAATAAGGCTAAAGTCCCTATCATTACAATAAACATATATGGGTGTGTGTGTCTACTCTTATATTGCTACTCACTATTTGAAACATATTCCATCATACACAGCCAATTATTACCTCCATTAGAACATCAAGTCTATTATTTGATTTTGTTTGTTAAAATATTTTTTCTTATATAAATTTGATTTCATATCATATATTTTATAGACCTCAATCACAAATGTCTAATTTGAATATTACTGTCATTGGGATTGAAAAGTTGACATACCATGATCAACACAAGCATGCTCTGTTTTTAGCTTTATCTATTGATGTCTCAGTAGACTGAAAACTTTCTCTCTGACTCTAATTAAGCCTTATTTGCTGAAACATAATATATACAATTACGTGGGACTCAGAATTGTGACAAACAGCCATTCCTTTGTGTTACATGAATGCTCTTAAAAAAAGCAACTACGGTTATCAAACAGTGGTTCTCAAATTTCAACATGCATCAGGTACACCTGGAAGATTAAATTTACATTTCTAATAAGTTCTTATGTGATATTGTTGTTTGAGAACCACTGCCTTACAGAATTCTCCCCCAGTAATCTACTCTTGGGCTTACTATTGCTGCCTAAATATAGACCTTAGGGAGTACGTAGGCTTAGACCATGGATAGACAGACATATACAGACACTGTATTCATTAATATATTTGGATATGTGCTTAACTGTGAAATGTCTTCAGATTTGAAATGGGTCCAGTATCTTAACTGAATATACGAATTCATGAAACTGGAAATGTAAAAGAATTAAAAGATGTTTATATTTTATTGGTGAGATTTCATCATTAAGACCTCTTTGCACTCTTTCTGTGCTTCTTATCTGTTGATTAACAAATTCTAATAAATTATCCTTTTATGCACTATATGTGGTGAATGATGATTTTATCCCTTCAGAGCAATAATTTGTACATCTAAGTGGCCATCAGGATCATTTGAGAAGGATGTTAAGTGACAAATTCCTGGGCCCCACCTCCAGAGTTTCTGATTTGATAGGTCTGGAATGGAGTCCAAGTAGCTACATTTCTAGCAACTCCCCAGGTGCTGCTGCTGCTGCTGCTGCTCTGGAAAGTACACTTTGAGGACCATTGCACTAGAACCTAGACTGACAAGGACTTCTCAGTGGGAAAACACAGACACACAACACTCCCCCACATGCTGAAGAGTTTGTGAAACCTGATGTGTGTGTGTGTTTTTTTAATTCCTCGTATTTTATTTTATTTTTTCATAGGTTTTGGGGGAACGGGTGGTATTTGGTTACATGAGTAAGTTCTTCAGTTGTGATTTGTGAGATTTTGGTGCACTTATCACCCGAGCAGTATACACTGAACCCAATTTGTAGTCTTTTATCCCTCACCCCACTCCCTCCCTTTCAAACTGGTCCCCAAAATGCATTGTTTCATTCTTATGCCATTGCATCCTCATAGCTTATCTCTCACTCATGAGTGAGAACATACAATGTTTGGCTTTCCAATCCAGAGTTACTTCATTTAGAATAATAGTCTCCAGTTCCATCCAGGTTGCTGTGAATGTCATTAATTCGTTCCTTTTTATGTCTGAGTAGTATTCCACCATGCCCGACCTATACTACAATTTCTTCATCAACTCATTGGTTGATGAGCATTTGGGGTGATTCCATGTTTTTGCAATTGTGAATTCTGCTGCTATAACCATGTCTGTGCAAGTATCCTTGTAGTATAATAATTTCTTTTCCTCTGGATAGATACCCAGTGGTGGAATTGAAGGATCAAATGATAGTTCTACTTTTAGTTCTTTAAGAAATCTCCAAACTGTTTTCCAAAGTGGTTATAAAGCTTACATTCCCACCAGCAGTGTAGAAGTGTTCTCTTTTCACTGCATCCATGACAACATCTATTATTTTTTAATTTTTTGATTATGGCCATTCTTGCAGGAGTAAGGTGGTATCATATTGTGGTTTTGATTTGTGTTTCCCTGATTATTAGTGATGTTGAACATTTTTTCACATTTTCGCTGGCCATTTATGTATCTTCTTTTGAGAATTATTTGTTCATGTCCTTAGCCCACTTTTTGATGGGATTTTTTAATTTGTTTGAGTTCCTTGTAGATTCTGGATATTATTTCTTTGTCAGATGTATAGATTGTGAAGATTTTCTCCCACTCTGTAGGTTGTCTGTTTACTCTGCTGACTGTTCCTTTTGCTGTGCAGAAGTTCTTTAGTTTAATTAAGTCCCACCGATTTATCATAGTTTTTGTTCCATTTGCTTTTGGATTCTTGTTCATGAAGTCTTTTCCTAAGCCAATGTCTAGAAGGGTTTTTCTGATTTTATCTTCTAGAATTGTTATAGTTTCAGGTCTTAGTTTTAAGCCCTTGATGCATCTTGAGTTGATTTCTGTATAAGGTAAGAAATGAGGATCCAGTTTCATTCTCCTACATGTGGCTTGCCAATTGTCCCAGCACCATTTGTTGAATAGGGTGTCCTTTCCCCACTTTACGTTTTACTTTGCTTTGTCAAAAGCAATCTGTAAGTATTTGGCTTTATTTTGGGGTTCTCTATTCTTTCCCATTGGTCTTTGTGCCTATTTTTATACCAGTACCACACTGTTTTGGTGACTGTGGCCTTATAATATAGTTTGAAATCATGTAATGTGATGCCTCCAGATTTGTTCTTTTTGCTTAGTCTTGCTTTGGCTCTGTGGCTCTTTTCTGGTTCCATATGAATTCTAGGATTTTTTTTTCTAGTTCTGTGAAGAATAATGATGGTATTTTGATGGGAATTGAACTGAATTTGTAGATTGCTTTGGGCAATGTGGTCATTTTCACATATTGATTCTACCCTGGTCATTTTCACAATACTGATTCTATCCATCCATGAGCATGTGATATGTTTCCATTTGTTTGTATTGTCTGTGATTGCTTTCAGCACTGTTTTGTAGTTTTCCTTGTAGAGGTGTTTCACTTCCTTGGTTAGGTATATTTCTAAGTATTTTAATTTTTTTGCAGCTATTGTAAAAGAGGTCAAGTTCTTGATTCGAGTCTCAGCTTGGTCACTGCTGGTATATAGCAGAGCTACTGATGTGTGTACATTAATTTTGTATCCTCAAACTTTGCTGAATTCATTTATCAGTTCTAGGGGCTTTTGGGAGAAGTCTAGGGTTTTCTGGGCGTATAATTATATCCTCAGCAAACAGCGACAGTTTGACTTCCTCTTTACTGATTTGAATGCCCTTTATTTCTCTCTCTTGTTTGATTGATCTGGCTAGAATTTCCAGTACTATGTTGAACAGAAGTGGTGGGAGTGGGCATCCTTGTCCTGTTCTAGTTTTCAGAGGGAATGCTTTCAACTTTTTCCCATTCAGTGTTACGCTGGCTGTGGGTTTGTGGTAGATGGCTTTTATTACATTTAGGGGTTTCCCCTGTATGCCAATTTTGCTGAGGGTTTTAATCATAAAGTGATGCTGGATTTTATCAAATGCTTTTTCTGTGTCTATTCAGATGATCATGTGATTTTTGTTTTTAATTCTCTTTATGTGGTATATCATATTTATTGACTTGTATATGTTAAACCATCCCTGCATCCCTAGTATGAAACACACGTGATCATGATGGATTGTCTTTTTGATATGCTGCTGGATTTGGTTAGCTAGTATTTTGGTAAGGAGTTTTTGCATCTATGTTAATCAAGAATATTGATCTGTAGTTTTCTTTTTTGTTATGTCCCTTTCTTGTTTGTATTAGGGTAATGCTGGCTTCATACAATGATTTAGGGTGGATTCCTTCTTTCTCTGTCTTGTCGAATAATGTCAACAGAATTGGTACCAATTTTTGGGGGGGGGGCAAGAGTTAGTGCATTTTATTTATTTTTTATTATACTTTAAGTTTTAGGGTACATGTGCACAATGTGCAGGTTTGTTACATATATATATATATATATGTGCCATGTTGGTGTGCTGCACCTATTAACTCATCATTTAGAGACTGAAATGGTAATAAAAAATTACCAATGAAAAAAAATTCCAGGACCAGAAATATTCACAGCAGAATTCTATCAGACATTTAAAGAATTGGGTATATCCACCCAATTCCTGGAATTTTTTTTCATTGGTAATTTTTTATTATCATTTCAGTCTCGCTGCTTGTTATTGATCTGTTGGGGGTTTCTAATTCTTCCTGATTTAAGCTAGGAGGGTTACATATTTCCAGGAATTTATCCATCTCATCTAGGTTTTCTAGCTTGTGTGTGTAAAGGTGTTCATAGTAGCCTTGAATAATCTTCCATATTTTTGTGGTGTCAGTTGTAATATCTCCCATTTTTGTATCTAATTGAGCTTATTTGGATCTTCTCTCTTGTTTCCTTGGTTAATCTTATTTATCTTTTCAAAGAACCATCTTTTTGTTTCATTTATCTTTTATATATTTTTTGTTTGTTTCAATTTCATTTATTTCTGTTCTGATCTTAGTTATTTCTTTTCTTCTGCTGGGTTTGGGTTTGGTTTGTTCTTGTTTGTCTAGTTCCTTGAGGTGTGACCTTAGATTGTCTATTTGTGCTCTTTTAGACTTTTTGATGTAGGCATTTAAGGCTATGAATTTTCCTCTTAGCACCACCTTTGCTGTGTCACAGACTTTTTGATAGCTTGTTTCACTATTATCATTGAGTTCAAAGAATTTTTAAATGTCCATCTTGATTTCATTGTTGACCCAATGATCGTTCAGAAGCATGTTATTTAATTTCCATGTATTTTTATAGTTTTGAAGGTTCCTTTTAGAATTGAATTCTAATTTTATTCCACTGTGGTCTGAAAGAGTACTTGTTATCATTTCAATTTTCTGAAATTTTTAAGGACTTGTTTTGTGGCCCATTAAAAAAGCTATTCCGATGATTTCCAGGATCTTTTCAGTTTTAAAATTCTTTCCTTTTGCATTATAAAATTTATAATGTCCTACTGCTCTTATACCAAATTATTATCTTGTATTAAACTTTAATGGACTTACTTAATGAGTCTTTATAAGATCACCTAAATAAAAGTTTTTCCAGTGAAGATCTTTATATGTGTTATATGCCCCAAATAATATTACACTTACAAATTTTACAAAAGTCAAATTTTATGATAATGACTTATATTGTCTTGACAAAGTTAAAATATAATAAATCTCTGTTGAGGAACAGGACTAATTTCCTCATTTGATCTAATAGAGCAGTTTCTGTGACATAATTAAGCAAATTATGAATTTTGTGAATAAATTCATGAAAGTTCAGTTTGTTACTTGTATTTGGAAAGTTTACTTTTTTCTACTTTTACAATGAAAATTCTAAACCACATAATATATAGGCTTTAGCGCACTCTAGATTGGTTTTTGATATGTTTATCTCACATTGTAGATGTAGTTATACAGTTTAATATAAATATAACAGAAAGTTTCTTTATGAATGAATTAATATAGTAATTTGACAAATATCTGTTAAAATATGTTAAATCTATTTACAGATATGTGGATCAGAAAGATTATTAAATGATATTATTTCACTGTTGATCACTGTTGATTAATCATCTTAGGAAGAAATTTGGTATAAAACAGATTATGTACAAGCCTTTATTGACATTATTCAATAATGACTGTGGAGCTAGAATTGTTAACAGGCTAAACTATATAGACTTATAGAATGTATATATAGAACTTATATATGTAGAACTATATATAGTTCATTGTAGACCTCTGACTATTGATACATATATAAATTCTGAAGCTGAGCCTGTAGATGCATCACTCCCATCCTCCAGTCTCTGCCTCTGTTGTCACACAGTATTCTCTCTGTGTGTCTTCATATTACATTCCCTCTATGTTTGTCCATCTCTGTATCTCTTTTCCTCTTTTGATCATAACGCTAGTCATATTGGATTAGGGCCCAGGATAATGATCTCATCTTAACTTAATTATAACTGCAAAAACTCTATTTCCACACAAGGCACATTCATAAGGTACTGGGCGTCTGGACTTCCACATGTATTTTGGGAGACAGAAGTCAGCTTCTAATGGATAGATAGTATAAAGAGAAAGCTGAATAACTAGAGAGATGTTATGTGAATGCTGATGAGGTTGATATAGGACATGGCATGTAGACAACTAACTCGGAAACCAAATTTTATAATTGGACAGCTTTGTGGGAATAGGCAGGTGTCCTGTGTTTATCACAACTTGGTTTTATAAATAGCAGAACTATTAAGTCAACATTTTCTTAATCTAGTTGGGCTTTAAGAGCACAACTGAACACACATATTTTCACACAATTGTATGTGTATTTTAGGGTTTTTTGGTGTTTCCATTCATGTTTCTTAGAGGATTGTGTCAATACATGTGTTAGATTCTCAGAAAGAAATATGACTATGTATTATCCTTTCCTACCACTGGAGAGAATCTCCATAACCTTGATTTTATCCTTACATTTAGCCAGAGCACATAGCTATGTCCCTAAATCACATTTATTGGGCCAAAAGTGACTTTCCTCTTATTGAACTGTGCTTTGTATTGTATCTCTGGTGCATGTTAAGAGCAGTAGGTGGGGTTCTGTAAAAGCCATCACACATTTAGGGTAAAAATATTGCTGAGGCTGTTATTTACATTAACAAAAGGTTATTTACATTAACAAAAGGTTCTCAGCCTTTTGTTCTGAGAACCCAGGAAACAAATTTATCTCAGTTATCATTGCCAGTGATTACTCTGCTTCTCTTAAACAGAGTAAGTATTTACATCTTAAGAACACTGTAAATGGTTTAACATTTGTGCTTTTTTTTCCGCCTGAATATCAGAAAGATGAGAGGTAAATTTGCAACCCAAGTCAAAGAAACTATGCAGTAACTGTAACATGTATTTTGTGTTTAATACAATTCCTAAATTTATATATTTTTCTACATTCATTTTTGCTCAATTTCTCAATTTTTTACCTTATTTGTTTTACTTATTTATCTAATGAGCAAAAAAAGAATGAGAGCCTATCTTATCACCATGTATTAGGAATCGCACCAATTCCCTGCATTCAATGATAGATACACATGACCACTGTCCCCAAATATCTCACAATGTAGAAAAGAAGGCATTCACTTAAGTTGATACTTGCAATAGATTATGACTAACATAATGATAAAGAGATCTACCAAGTAGTATTAGCACATAAAAGGAGTAAGCAATTCCGCTGCATCAGAAAAAGGCTTCTGAGAAAGAGACAGCTAAACTAGGCCTTAAGCAGAGGTTAGCCAAAAAAAAAAAAAAAGAAAGAAAAGAAGAGGAACAAAAAGAAAATAGTGAGGGGACTAAACCCTGATGATGAAAAAAGTCAAAGAACATCTAGATAGAGAGATACTATATGTAGATAGGAAGATTCAAAATTATGAAGGTGTCAATTCTTTCCAAATTGACCTATAGAGTCAATGCAATTATGGAAAATTCCCAGAAAATTATTTTGTGTGTGTTGACAAACTGAATATAAAGTTTACGTGGAATGGAAAAAGATCCAGAATAGCAAACACGGTACCGAAGACAAAGAACAAAGTTGGAAGATTGACGCTATTGAACTTCAAAGCTTATTATAAAGTTTTAAAATTCTTTCCATTTTTTCTTTCCTTGGCCTCAAGTAGTTTATTTGTGTGTATATGCTGTTCAGTGCTCTTCTGATGACTTAATGTCACCTTCCACACATCTCCAGAACTCCCTTCCTCTTCTCTGCTGCTCTCTGCTCTACCTTACTCTGATCTGTGATAACTGACTGTCTTGGCCTTTCCAGACTACCAGCTCCATCTTATAAGCTCCGTGATTTGCTAGGCAACTCATTGCTGCACTAAGGCCTTGTAACTTTCTCCAAGCACTAAGCGGAAGCAATCACAGGGTACATCTCATTTGTTTCCCATCACTAAAGTATCACTGTTCTTTGTTGTCTGATGTTCAATATCTTTAAAACCATTGTTTTATGTATTTTGTCTGTTTTCCTTAATTTCCAGTATGAGGAGTAATTAGACCCCTGTTATGTTATCTTTGCTAAAAGAAAAAGTTACTAGGATAGTTTTGAAATTAAAAGAAGGCAGTATTAATATTTATCTCATTACAGTAGAGCATACATATTATGTTTACCTTTCCCAAAAGCCAAGTGAACAGGAACTTAAAAAGAAAGGGAAAGTGATCAATATGGTCAAATATGTTCATTAGTCTTGGAAAGTAATGGGAAATTGGTGACCAGAGAGACTAATCCATAGAATGGTGGAGCTAGAAACTAGATTACAGTGAATTAATGATGAAGTGGGAGTGAGAAGTAGAAAAAACAAGTAAAGATGATATTCCTTAAAAAGTTGAGTTGAACAGTGACAGACAGGTACTAGATGGCATTTGTAAGAAAACAGAATCAGAGAAAAGTGTTGACTATTCAAATATTTGTTGATGCAAAAAAGAGAGAAAATTAAAACTGACTATGAATAGAGCAGAGGCTGACAAAATGGCCCACAGACTGGCCACTAGTTTTTATAAAGTTTTATTGGAACACAGTCAGTCATATTTATTTACATTATTATCTATGGCTACTTCTATATTCACACAAATGAAGAATTGTGAGAGACTATATGGCCTAAAACCTGAAAATATACACTATCTGACAGTTACAGAAAAAGTTTGCCAATCTTGCACTAAAGAACTTAGCCATAAGTTACACATTCTATAGAATTTCAACAAAAAAGGATAGGTGGGGTCTACATTGTTTCATTTTTATTTTCAAATATATTATATCATATTCAATAATGTTAATTTAATAAGAATTGTATGACTCAGCCTTTAATAATTTTTTTACTTTTTTCTAGGCAAAGAAGTCAAGCCTAAACCTCCACGTATGTTATATGCATGCTCAATAAACAAACACGTACATATGTACATACATACATAAAACAAATCTTAAATGCATGCTGTTATTTATCTTGATTTCATGTTGAATATTTTGCTTAAAGTCAAAGGCTTGTTTTGTGTAGACAATGTACTCATTTTCTTACATGTATTTCTGAGAAAATGCTATACCAAAATTTTCCTTTATCTTTTATTCACTGGAAGCATCTTTCCTTACCTTGTCATTAAAAATCTCAGCTCAGATTTCCATTATTTTCTCAAAAAAAATTTTTTTGAGACAGAGTCTCACTCTGTTGCCCAGGCAGTGGGCAGTGGTGTGATCTCTGCTCACTGCAACCTCTGCCTACCAGCCTCAAGTGATTCTTGTGCCTCAGCCTCCCCAGTAGCTGGGATTACAGGCACGCACCAACACACCTGGCTGGCCTTCCAAAGTGCTAAGATTACAGGCATGAGCCACCATGCCTGGCTCTCAAAATATTTCTTACTGGAATAATAGTGAGGAATCTGTTGTTACGTACTAGTTTGCCACAATCATAAGAATATGGTTAATATGACATGAACTTTTCGAAGTTAATAGGAGATTGAAACCAATGAATAACATAGAAAATAATTATATAAAAATAAATATGCACAAGTATATAGGAAATGAATATCTTTCTATAATCATTGTTACTAATGTTCATCTATATTTTTAGAACTACAAGGAAAAAAGGAAGAGAAGCCAGGTATGTATATTTTATTTATACACATATATGATTTCCATGTTTAGAATAAATAGCACAATATCTCTTTGCAAATGTCATGTCCTAGTACAAATATTTTATCAAATTTTATCCTTGACCAACTTAAAAAAAAACTAACAAAATATATATTTCTCTATGCTACCCATTTCTAGAAAAACCTCTATTTGCATAGGTGAAATATCTGAGAAATTTACATGGTTCAGAAGAAGTAACTAAGTAATTGAATTGATTCCCACAAAACCAAGATTTTCTCTGATTATTGTAGGACACAGACATTCAATCAGCAAAACATCTGCTCTCATCCTTCTCTCTTTTGAGGCTTCTGAGTCAGATGAACATTTCTGAAGGCTACAGTAGGCAGTAGAAACTTTTTCAAAAGAACACTCAACTGTCTGGTTCTGAACACAGTTAAAATTTTGTTTAATGTTTCATAATTGTATTATTGTTGTAGGGCTACTGTAGTAAAATTCCACAAACTGGGTGGCTTAAATTCCACAAACTGGGTGGCTTAAAACAACAGAAATTTATTGTCTCACAGTTCTGGAGAGTAGATGTCCAAAATGAAGGTGTCACAAGGGACATGCTTTCCATGAAATCTGTAGAGAGAAATCCTTCCTTGCATCTTCTGGTGTTTTCCAGCAATCCTTGGTGTTCCTTGGCTTGTAGATGCATCACTTTCAAACTCTGCCTCCATCATCACATGGAAACCTTCTCCCTTTGTGTCTCTAGCTCTGTAAACCCTTCTCCTCTAATAAGTACACCAGTCATATTGGATTAAATACCCACCCTACTGCCCCATGACCACATCTTAACTAATTACATCTGCAATAACCCTATTTACAAACAAGTTCCTATTTTAAGGTACTGGAGGTTAGGATGTAAGCATACCTTTTGGAGAGATGCAATTAAATCCATAACAGTCCATTCTCTGGCTGGCCCAAAATTTATGTCCTCCATAGGTGCAAAATATGTTCACCCCATCCCAACATTTCTAAAAGTCCTAACCATTCTAGCATGGTTCTAAGTCCAAAATTTCATCTAACTATCAATCAATAGTTCAAAATCTCATTATCTAAATCATCTAAATCAGTTACATATAAAACTTGGAGTATGATTCTTCCTTCAGCAAAATTCCTCTTCTCTTTTTGAACCTGTGAAAACATGAAACAAATTATTTACTCCCAAAATAAAATGATGAGATACGTATAGGATGGACATTCCCCTTTTAAAGGGAAGAAATTGCAATAAAATAAAAAGAGGTCCTGAGTCCTAAGCAAATCCAAAACCTAGCATATTTCAAAGCCTGAGAATATTCTTTCTGGCTCAGTGCTCTGTACTCTGGGACTGGTGGAACAGTGGCCCTGTCCTCTTAGCTCAGTGTGCTGACAGCCCTGCCTTCTCCACCACAGGAGGTCCCATTAACCCAGGCGTTTGAATTCATGGCTTTTCTCTGGAGTCATTATCCCTTCATTTTATCATGTCTCTGTCCCTTTTTTGTCCAGGCTGGCATTGTTTTTGCTTCTTTAAAATTCTCGAAAACCTGACTAGTGTCACATTCAATTCATGGGGCGTCTAAGCCATTAGATAAGAGGGTCCTCCACAGATGTTTCCTGGATAACCACATCTCTATTTCTGTCTTCTGCTGAAGTGGCTCCATGAGTCATACATCTAACCTCTTTAGCAAAAGTTTGTCCAACCACAACCTTGGCTCTATCTCCATGGCACACTGTCTAGATAGGCTGAGAATTTTCAAATCAGTAAGTGCCAGTTCTTATTCGATTAACGGTATCTTCTTCAATTTATGTGTATCTTTCTTTTCACATTTTATTATAAACAACAAGGAGAAATCAGTTTGCACCTTCCATACTTTGCTTGAAAATGTTCTTAGCTAAATTTTTAAGTATTCACTTACTATTTCCATCTTCCACCTAACAGAAGAACACAATTAAGCTAAGTTTTTTGCCACTTTATAAAAAATATTACCTTTCCTTTAGTGGCCAATAACATGTTCCTCATTTTCTTGAGACCTCATCTTTAAAACTCATATTTCTAGCAACATTCTACTTCTACTTACAATAATATATATCTATATGATTTGAATGTGTTTTCTCAAAATTTATGTGTTACCTGTGTAATAAATAGTATTGACAGCTGGAGCCTTGAAGAGGTGATTAGGCCATAAGAGCTCCTCTTTTGTGAATGGGAACAAGGCCATTATAAAAGAGGCTCCGTGCAGTGTTCAGCTAGCCTGCTGTCTTCCCCTTTTGGCTTTGCCCTGTAAGGACACAGCATTCCTTCTCTCTGAAGGACACAGTAACAAGGCATTATCTCCAAACCAGAGACCAAACCTGCTAATACCTTAATCCCAAACTTCACGGTCTCTAGAAGTATAAGAAATACATTTCTGTTCTATGTAAATTACCCAGTCTGTGATATTCTATTATAGCAGCACAAAATGGACTAAGTCACAAATGTATCATTTAAAATGACAAGAGCTTTCTCTATAGCTCTCTTGAGTTCTTTCTGAGCCCTCATCAGAATAACCTTTAATGTCAATATTTCTGCCAATAATCTCTTCAAAGCAATCTAGGCTTTCTATATTAAGTGTCTCAAAATTATTCTAGACTCTACCCATTACCCAATTTCAAAACCACTTTTACATGTACAGGTATTTGTTTCAGCAGCACCTATGTTCCTAAACCAAAATTGATTAGTTTCCTTGGATGGCTACAATAAAATATCACAAATTGTGTTGCTTAAAACTGGAGAAATTTTTCTCTCTCACAATTTTGGAAGTTAAAAGTCCAAAATCAAGGTGTTGACAAAGCAACACTTCTTTTTAAAACCGTAGAGGAGAATATTTGTTTGCTTCTCCTAGCTTCTGGTGTTTTCTGGCAATCTTCGGTGTTTCTTGGTGTGAAGATATATGACTTCAATCTCTGCCTCTATTATCGCGTGGTCATCTTCTCTATTTGTGTCTCTTTTCCTCTTCTTATAAGGACAATAGTCATATTGGATTAAAAACCTACCCTTCTCTAGCATGACTTCATCTTACCTTAACTAATTACATCAGTAGCAACCCTATTTCCAAATAAGGTTACATTCTTAGGTACTGGGGGTTAGGACTCAACAGATTGTTTGGGAGAACACATTTGAGCCATAACATTATTTGTCTCAATTCCTAAATCACGTAAGTACCCAATTAGATCTATTTCAAAGAGTCTCTTCCAACTCTTGTTGTTAAAATAATTTATCTTATGTTGACTTTGGAACTATTTTCTGCAATAATCATCTTAGAAAAAAGTAGAAAATTTAGATTTAAAAGAATGAGCTATAGCAACAATTTCACAGACAAGTGCAAAGCATGTTTCTGTTTCATGTTTAATAGTCCATCATTGGCAAACCAGTGTAAAACTGGTTTTTTTTTGAAACGGAGTCTCGCTCTGTCACCTAAGCTGGAGTGCAGTGGCATGATCTCAGCTCACTGAAACCTCTGCCTCCTGGGTTCAAGCAATTCTCCTGCCTCATCCTCCCAATTATGATAACCAAATAAAATTATTTCTAAAAATTAATTTTCATTCTAGTTTATTTTTTCAGGTTTTAAATTTTCTGCCTTTTCTCTCCCTCAGAGCCCCAAATTAAAAAAGAAGCAAAACCAGGTAACATGAGCTTTATTTTATATAGATTCAGAGTTGACATTATCTTTATTTTATTAAGTACTAAAAGAGGCTTACATCTCACTAGGGAGACATGCACATAGTCTCCAAGTTCCTCATTATTTTGTCAACTCCATTGCTCAACATGATTTTATAGCACTGGATTAGGTGAGAATGGGAATATTCCCTAGACTAAAACACCTAGAAAATGGCCTTAAATAAATCTCAACAGAGACTCTAGGTTTCTGGAGACATTTCTAAGGTTTTTATGAAATTAATAATAATCATGCTTAACTTATGGCTTTATTTTCATAATTCTGGTGGCTTTGTTTTTATAATTCTGAAGTATTTCCAGTAATATACCAGAATTATAAAATCATAAAGTTATAGACTATTGTGGTTTGAAGGGAATGAGAGCAAGAATTTATTAAGCATCTATTGTGAGCTAAGGACTAGCATAGGATTTTTACTTTCATCATATCATTATGAGAAACAGACAGCATGGCCATTATTACCTATACTTAATATCTGAAGAAGCAGTTCAATAGATCAAGTTCAGAAAATAAGTTATTATTCCAGGATTTTCAAGTTAATCAATGTTGAAGCTAGGGGTCTGCCCCGTGTCTGATTTGCACCAAACCCTGGGTACCCCCATTAAGAGATTGTCCCTAAAATGCTATCATTTTATTAGAAGGTAGCATTGACCTAAAAAAAAGTATGACCTTTCCAAGTCTACATTGTTTTTTAGTGTTTAAGTCATACCTCTGGTACCAACTAGCAATTGACCTGAGGCAAGTTCAAAAAAACCCTCAGGCTCTATGGTAGCTATTTCTTCATTATAAAAGATTACTTAGCAAGATTCTTCAATATCAACAAATCAAGAATACAAATCTAGACACATATTCAGTAGTACCTCAGCCCCTGAATTCTCACCAGAACTTACCTGGCAACTGATCATAAGCTTGAATATAGTTGCTCTTGTGATATATTTACAATATATTAAGGATCATAACAGCCTTGTTACATTACAAATATTATTATGATTTATTAGTATTTTATTATTTATTTTCCTGATTATATTTATCTGCTGTAGGTGGATATGTTTTACCAGATATAAGCATTTTGTATTTTTGCCAGTTTTACTTTTCTTTAACCAGAAACCCAGTACTATTTAAAGCTAGTTATGCCTAGTTCTATTTACAATAACCAGTTGTATTTGTTATTGTTAAATACTCCATTTTGCAGGTAATTTAATCTAATATGTTATTTATTTATTTTAGCTATATCTGAAAAAGTGCAAATACACAGTATGTATTAATTTTATCTTTTATGCTTAGACTTTCTTACGAAAAAATATTGAAACGTTTTCAAAATCATGTATTTTCAACCTGTGCTTTTATATTTATGTTTTATTACAGCCTGTGTTTTGAAAACTATAGTTTCAAAAATTTTGTAAATAAGAATTCTTGGCATATTGTTTTCATGAACTAAAACCTTTAAGTTTTACATAGAAACAAGGATGATATGAAGATTTCAGAATATTTTTTCTCTATGGGCACATTTGCTAAAATCTGCTAGCTATTTTCCCAGCTTCTAAATACCTAAAAAAGATTTTCTTTTTATTATTTTCAGAACAAGACATAGTGAAACCAGAAAAGACTGTTTCTCATGGTAAACCAGGTATTTTGCAGGTGGTATTTGTAGTCTCAAATAACCTCTCAATGTTCTAATTTTAGCAGAAGGAAGAGTTTAGAGTCAAGTCTAAAGTTATTTGGGACAATTCATGTCTTAAGTCATAAGCTTCTAGACCATCTCCAATTTTAGTCATCTTCAGAATTTTTTTTTGTGCTGAGAACTTAACCAGTGAGATGTAACTAGACAACTAGTCTTCCCTTCCCACCAGAGAGTTAGCTTTGCACAAAAACCATAGTCACCCAGCACTTAGATGAATGGGCTCTATACTTTCTGTTTTATTCTGATTTGGGCAAGGCATTCTGAGCAAACTTGTAATTCAGATTGGCTTATTAAAATATGATCATTTTAGACTCTCCAAGTCCCAAAAATGCTGAAGAAATCAACATTTCTCCATGCTTCTTTTCCTGACTCTTTATTTTCTTCACCCTTCCTTCCCTTTCTTATTTTCTTTTTATTCCTGGTCTTGCATTTTGTAGAAAGTAGAAGTAAGCTAATATGTTCTGCTTGTAAAAAAAAGATACATAATTTATCAAAACAAGGTTATGAATTAATTTTTATTTAAGAATAAAAACAAGTTTTTATTTCAGCTAATTAAATATGAATTTAATTTTGAGGCTACCCAAGCCCTGATTATTCTGTAGAATATTATTTTTCATTCCAGGCTGAAATATGTACCCAATTTGTGAATATAGTTAGGCCAGAATCTTTGAAAAGTGAAAAACATACTTGCTCTAAACAAATCTTAGGAAATCCTTTGCTTACTTTTATAAATTGTACTTCAGAAAATCTGTATACAATGGGTTTTAGTCTGTGTGATTTGTTTTGCATATGCTTTTAAAAAAACTGTGATACACCAACAACAGAAAATATAGGAATAAGGAAAGCAGGGCTGGAGTGTGGAGAGGTGAGAAGAGCTGTCTGTATTGACAAAAGCAGAACCTTAGAAACAACTTTCAGAAGCTCCTCATTAAATGAAACATTGTTATTTTCTTATGTCCCAAATATTAGCCAACTTGAGGTGAAATAAAGAGAAGTGACAGACTTTAGTCTCTGAGCGTACATCAAATGCATTGTCTTGTAGGAACAACTCTTTTACTTCAGTTACACCACCATGCTCTTTAAATTCTCTGTTATCCAGTGAAACTTTCTACTTAGGATATTTGATCAGTTGATTCATACCCAGTGTGAAATGCTTGAGAAGTTTAATTTCATGTAGTATCAGGGCAATAATCTCTTTACTTTGACCCAAACATCTTTGACTATGAAAAATCACTGAGAACAAAGGACATCCCACAAAGGCATCAACTTTGTTCTTCCCCAGCTTCACACTGTAAGAAATTTGGGTTCTCCACCTATTCCTGGGTTCCCAGGGAGGTATCAGTACAAGAAGATAAAAAATTGCTCCTTCCTATTCTAATTTAATAATAGTAAGGGAACATATATTTTATAAAGCAGTACCTCTGGGCAGATAAATACACTGAAATACAGTGAAGGCAAAAAATAGGGCTCATATTGGCATGTTAGGGAACAATTTAAGTTAGGAAAACTTCTATAGCAAGATAGCTGCAAAGGACATTTCAGCTGGACAGATTTTCTTTGTGCTTTCATCCAATTTGAATAGAAGATGTTTTTGCTGTTTTATTGAGGCAACAAGTTTTTCTTGGCATTGGCACTATTTCAAAAGAATACAAAAATCATGGTTGAAATATGTCACTGATGTATTCAAATTTCCTACTTGTGTTAACATTTTTTCCTATCACAGAAGAAAAAGTTCTCAAGCAGGTAAAAGCTGTCACAATAGAAAAAACAGGTAAATAAGGTATTTTATATTTTTTTCTATGTCTCATTATATGTTATGTGGTGCACTCATATGTGTGCATGCAGACACACACACACACACACACACACAGCCCTTCACTGAAGTGTGTAGGCTTTCAGTACCATAACTTCTAACATTCTGAATTCTTGTGAATAACTAAAAATATGTTCAATATAATTTTTGTTAAAAAATAATAGCTAGAGTAGCATAACTTTAAGTGTGATTGAGCTAAGCTTATGTGTAATTCATGAGAAAATCTATATAATGCATTGATTACCATGTATACTTAGGTGTTTAATCTTATTTTTAAACCACATTTCCTCAAATCTTAAAATTACAGAAGTCTGAAACTTTCTACTATTTATAAATTAGCTGGAATAATTTACTTTCATGGAAGCTCCATAGAGAGGGATATGGTTATATAACTTTAAAGTCTGCCTTAGAGAATGATCAACAGAACATAAAATATTAAAGTAAAAACACTCCATCTATCATTAGTTCATATGAGAAAGAAAAGATACATACTCTTGCAATTCAGAAGTTTTTCCTGTAAGGAAAAAGAAAACTTATGAGTCTTGAAATCAATTCACATCTGAGTCACTGAACTTCCTCTGTTTGATTCCAAGACAGAAATCCTACCCACCTCAGCCATTAAGAGAATCCCATCTCTTACTAATAATCATTCCAAAAGAAAAACTCTGTGAAACATGTTTTTCCCTGAGATAATCAGATAATAAGGATTTAAATAGTTTCTTGGAGGAAAAAATATAATAGAATTCAGGAGAGATCCAATTATTCCTAGAAATTATAGACTAGTTTATAAGTAGAAAGAAAGAAATCTCATAAGGCCGTTTTCACATTACTTCATATGACCATTATACTTTCTTCCGACCACTGCCTAAGTTTATAATTTTAGTAAATGTTCCTTTAATTTGCACCCTAAGGTATTAATATGGCCACCTGAGTATCTCATTCAGTTGTATGGATGTTTGGGAATTATGAAGAAGCTAGCTCAATGTATTTGTGACTCAAATATATAGATTGTTTTAAATTTTATGTGCGTAGCATGTGTCTTACTAGTTTTTTGCAGTTTGATTAATGTATTTGCTGACAGTAAAATATTAGTGGTCAAAGAAAACAGGTTAAGTTTAAGCTAAGGAGGTGACCTAAAACTAAGAATAAGTAAATACAAATACTAAACAGTTATTTTTTCCATGGTTTGTACTCATCAATATGCCATGTGCTTGCCTCCATTCTCCACAGCCAAGCCCAAACCAACAAGTAAGAGATGAATAGAATAACACCTGAGAAATATCGCTTGACCATTTCAGCTTTAACAATTTTGCTTAGTTTTTTTAAGAAAAATGTTATTTTCAGTGTTGTCTGTGTCTAAATAACTGTTAATAATAAATTAATGTTATTGCTATTTAATTGTTAGTGATAAATTAATGTTATTGCTATGGCATTGATTTAACATTCTTGTTAAATCAATCTACCAATTAATGATTAATAATTAATGATTAATTAAATCACTACTAATTAATGATTATAACTATACAAAAGAAATATCCAGAAGTCTGTCACTGTGGTTAATATTAAAAGAGGGAATCCATATAGGCTATAAAATACCACTCACAGTAAGTTAAGGTAGGTTGGAAATCTTTTAAACATACGTAATGAATAACAGAAAATGAAATGATATACAATTGTCAGTGTTATGAACCATATACTGTTTTTAATTTGTTTGCTTTAAGCTGCATTAATTAAACTGTAGGTAACTTTGGCATTTAGAAATCCATTTAATTATAAACATTTTGCCATTTGTCCATTACAATGATGAAATGTCCTTATGAATGTGGACTTTGAAGATCCTTCATTTCACTGTACAGGTGTGACACAGAGAGTATAGTGATGAAGAGTTTAAAGATGACTTTTGGACTCAGGAAGGCATAAATATTTACCCACTGTGGTAGCAAATATATTCAATATTGTGTCAAAATTGTGATGTTGGTCGTTGAATGGTGTACATTTGTGAAACACAAGCTTAGACAAATGCATGAATGGCTGTTGGTCAAATATATTCTGGCTCTTGCATGCAAAATAGCTTCACAAGACCCAAAGGTGAACGTGTGACACAGCTTAGGAATACATATAAGTGGTTTAGGCTATATAGCACAAATGAATGACTCTAATCAGAACACATTCACATCCTAGAATCTGTGAATTGTATTTTGAATATATATTTTATATTATTATTATTCCCTTGATTTATTATTAATGCTGTTATAACAGTTTAATACCTTGAATATTGGCTGCATTTTCTTTTATTTTGAATGCTTATTTACTATAACATTTATGCAAATTCAGTTCATGGAAGTTTATTCTTGAATGCTATCAGTTCCTAATGTACGAATATCTGTTTAGTCTGATGACACCTGGAGTCCCACATCTTCCCACCTACTTCAGTGTTGGTGCATAATTTGGGGGAAAAGTAGTAAGTTTAGAGAAACTCCAAATTCAAGAGTGAGGGAAAGAAAGGACAAGTAAACATCAAGAACAGCTCAGAAGAACTGACCATAGAGGTCATTAGAGGTAACACTTGGTCTGTTCCAGAGTCCTACTCAATTGACAGATATTCTCAATCCCATTCAAGATATCCCACATATATGGTTGACTTTAAATTCCACTTTTGATGAAAGAGAATGATCTCTTTAAAATTTTTAATTCAAATATTTTTCAGAGAACTAAGAGGGATGTCAATTACTCATACATTTTTATTTCTTTTTGTCATATCCTAGAATAGTTGAGATTCAGCTATGAGAGTTTTAAGAAAACCTGGAAAGGGAGGGTGGTACAGGTCAATAAAAATACAAAATGTGGCACTCTCTGGAATACAGCAGATTTAGTTTAAATTTTCAATAAGAAACTAGTGTTCAGCAGTGCATTGCTTCTAACTGGCAAGAAGGTTACTAGGATTCAAAGAGGAAAAAAGAGGAGTTGATAAAATGTCAAAGACAAATACCATCCACTAAAAATGTCCCCAAAGAATGATTCAACTTTCAGCAAATAAAACAATATTCTTATTCTCCTTTTTGCCATATTCTATCCTCTTATACAACACAGCCCCCAAAGGGATAAAACCCTAATACTGTCTTTCAGCCAAATGTAGAAAAAAGCCTTTTCCTGGGTGTCCTGAGAAAGAACCTAACCCTGTTTATAATTTTTTTATGGCAATATGCTTTCTTTGTTTCAAATTACATGAAAATGACTTTGGGGCATGCCTCTTGGGTAAACTGAGGATCACTTGCAAATATATAAATAAGAAATATTTGCCAAAGAATCCACAGATTGCCAGTGAATTTTGATTTCTTTCTCTAGAAAAAGCTGAACATCGAGAAAGAGAACCTCCATCTATAAAAACAGGTATTTTACCATTTTTGGTTTATATTCTGTCTTATGTTCACTATTTTTATTATATTCAAAAATTAAAGTAATGCATACAAGTCATTTTCACTGTGTTTCCTGGTAATGTGTTGTCCTGTGGTTTTGTAGTGTAATCTAGTTTATCTGACCTAAGGGCAATATTGTTGTCAATCAAACATAGATTGCCAAACATGCAATTATGATAGAGCAAAATTAACAAATTAGATTTGATTTTATGATTCACAAGTTCCTTCCAAAATATTCAGTATTTCACTGTTGTCAGTATTAATATAATTTATCATACAGATTAAGTTGATAGTTTTAAAATATCTTGTCAAATTACACAGGTTAAATTTCACAAATTGTGAATTTCAGCTTGATATATCCTCTTAAAAGAGAAGTTACCCCATTCTAAAAGTTAGCTTAATTCTTTTAAAATGTCATTCAATTTTTACAATATGTAATATTTCACATGGTTCAAACACTGAGGCATATAGGAAGCTAACTGCAAAAATCTCTCTCTTTTGGTAAATTCTACCAGTTCTCATTTCAAAAATATGTGATGATATCCAGAGGTAATCACTGTTACTTCTTTTTTTTTTTTTGAGACAAAATCTCTCTCTCCAGGCTGGAGTGCAGTGGCTCCATCTCAGCTCACTGCAAGCTCCACCTCCCGGGTTCACACCATTCTCCTACCTCAGCCTCCCGAGTAGCTGGGACTACAGGCTCCTGCCACCATGCCCAGCTAATTTTTTGTATTTTTAGTAGAGAAGGGATTCACTGTGTTAGCCAGGATGGTCTCGATCTCCTGACCTCGTGATCCACCCACCTCGGCCTCCCAAATCACTGTTATTTCTTAAAGTATCCTTCTAGCATTATCTATCTACCAGTACAAATATATATATATTATAATATATAACATATATAATATATCATATATATTATATATAATACATATTATAATATATTACATATATAATATATCATATATATTATATATAATACATATTATAATATATTACATATATATTATAATATATACATATTATACATATTATTATAATATAATACATATTATAATATATATTATATATAATACATATTATAATATATATATTATATATAATACATATTATAATATATATATTATATATAATACATATTATAATATATATATTATATATAATACATATTATAATATATATATTATATATAATACATATTATAATATATATATTATATATAATACATATCATAATCTATATATTATATATAATACATATCATAATCTATATATTATATATAATACATATCATAATATATATATTATATATAATACATATCATAATATATATATTATATATAATACATATCATAATATATAATACATATTACATATAATTATATATAATACATATTACATATAATATATATTACTATATATAATATATAATATATATTATAATATATATAATATATAATACATATTATAATATATATAATATATAATACATATTATAATATATATAATATATAATACATATTATAATATATATAATATATAATACATATTATAATATATATAATATATAATACATATGATATATAATATATATAATATATATAAACACAAAATGTATCTACAAAAAAAGTATCAATTTGTATTCCCTCTGTTAGCTATTAGTTATTTTACTTAATTTTAGATGATTCAATCCTGCAATCATAGCTAAATCTTTTCTACTTTTTATGAAGAAATAGAACTTTAGATGTACGATGACACAGTTAACGTTTTTAGTTAATATATTTTAGAAGACATGTTATATTGGAAAAAAATAGAATGTCTTTACGATTTTTTTTACCTACCACCCATTCATTCTTGAGATTTTATAAAGGAACCTTATTGTTCAACATACGGGATTGGGAGAGTTAGTATAAATTAATATTAATAATTAATATTATTAGTATAAATTAATATTAATAATTAATATTATTAGTATAAATTAATATTAATATGTATTCCAAAAGGACTGTGGCAGAATATATATTTTATGCTATTTCAGAAACAGTAAGAAGTTCAGATTTTTGTGAGCATTGATTAATATTGTATCAAATCAAATATGAGGTTTACAGGAATAAAAAAGAGACCAAAAAAGATTCCATACTTTCAGGCTTTACTGCTCCATGAGAAACTCATTGGGAGTATGATATGAAAATTATTAAAAACACATTTCCTACTGTTCATTGTTGATATAAGTTTAGTCTTATTTTTACAATAAAAAGCAAAAATAGGAAATATAAAGGGCTGATATGTCACCCATAGATAGAAAATTATCACTCATTTTCTTTTTTTTTCTTTTTTCCTTTTTAGACAAACCAAAACCAACTCCAAGTAAGTGTACCATTTTAGAATTTTAAAATTGTCCTATTTCATTGTTTTAATTTCACAATTTCTTTGAGTTATAACTGAAGTTAAATAGTATGGTCTGTTTGTTAATGTAATAGCCATTATACTATTACCATATAAGTGAGTCTGGTTGACAAAGGATATTGTGTGCACAGGCATACCTTGGAGACAAAAAGCACAACTAAAAGAAAATGGGTAGAGCAAGAAGCCCTAGACCAATAAGCACATGAAGAGATGTTTAGTGATTCAAAAAATGCAATTCAAGGAAAATTAGATGTCATTGTCCTGGCATACCTCGGGGGTATTGCAGGTTTCATTCAGACCACCACAATAAATCACACCATTTTTTGTTTTCCCAGTGCACATAAAGATTATGTTTGCACTATAGTCTATTAAGTGTGCAAGAGGATTATGTCTAAAAAATGTACATAGCTTAATTTAAAAGTATTTTGCTGCTAAAAATGTTAGTGATCATCTGAAACCAGCAAGTTGTAATACTTTTGCTGGTAAAAGTATTGTCTCGATGTTGATGGGTGCTAACTGATGAAGGTGGTGGTTTCTGAAGGTTAGAAATTTGTGGTGATTCTGAAAATAAGACAACAATAAAGTTTGGTACATTGATTGACTGACAAAAGATTTCTCTGTAGTTCGTATGGCTATTTGACAGCATTTTACTCGCAGTAGAACTTCTTTCAAAATTGGAGTCAGTCATCTCAAACTTGGCTTCTGCTTTATCAACTAAGTTTATGGAATGTTCTAAATCCTTTGTTGTGATTTTGACGATGTTCACAACATCTTCACCAGAAGTAGATTCCATCTCAAGTATCCACTTTCTTTTCTCATCCATGAGAAATAACTCCTCGTCTGTTCAAGTTTGATCATGACATTGAAGCAATTCAGCCACCACTTCTAATTCTTTTGTTGCTTCCACCACATCTGCAGTTACTTCTTCTACTGAATCCTTAAACCTCTCGAAGTCATCCGTAAGAGTCAAAATCAATTTCTTTCAAACTCCTGTTGATACTGACATTTGGACTCCCTCTCATGAGTCAAAAATGTTCTTAATAGCATCTAGAGAGGTGATTCCATTCCAGAAGACTTTCAATTTACTTTGCACGGATCTATCAGATGAGTCACTATATATGACACCTACAGCCTTATGAAATGTACTTATTAAGTAATAAGACTTGAATGTCAAAATTACTCTTTAGTCCCACGGGCTGCAGAATGTATGTTGTGTTCACAGGCATGAAAGCAATATTAATCTCCTCGTACAGCTCCATTAGAGCTCTTGAGTGACCAGGTGCATTGTCAATGAGCCATAATATTTGAAAGGAGTCTTTTTTCTTAGCAGTAGGTCTCAACAGTGGGCTTAAAACAGTCAGTAAATCATGCTGCAGACAGATGTGCTGTCATCTAGATTTTGTTATTCCAGTTATAGAACACAGGCAGAGTAGATTTGGCATAATTCTTAAGGGACCTAAAATTTTCAGAATGGTCAATAAGCATTGGCTTCAACTTCAAGTCACCAGCTTCACTAGCCTCCAACAAGAGACTCAGCCTGTCTTTTGAAGCTTTGAAGCCAGATATTGACTTTTCTCTCTAGCTATGAAAGTTCTAGATGACGTCTTCTTTTAATAGAAGGCTATTTGTTAAGTTGTTGTTGTTCTTTTAAAGACAGGGTCTCACTCTGTCACCAGGCTGGAGTACAGCTTGGGGATCATAGCTCACTACAGCCTCAAACTCCTGGGCTCAAGTGATCCTCCCTAGAAGGCTATTTTGTCTACATTGAAAGCTTATTGTTTATTGTAGTCACCTTGGTCAATTATCTTAGCTAGATCTGGATAACTTTCTGCAGCTTCTGTATCGGCATTTGATGCTTCATCTTATACTTTTACGTTACGCAGGTGGCTTCATTCCTTAAATTTCATGAACCAACCTCTGGTAGCTTCCAACTTTTCTTCTGCAGTTTCCTCACTTCTCTCAGCCTTCATAGAATTGAAGGGAGTTAGGGCCTTGCTGTAGATTAGGTTTTGGCTTAGGGAACGTTGTAGCTGCTTTGATCTTCTATTCAGTCCACTAAATCTTTCTTTGTCTCAGCAATAAGGCTGTTTCCCTTTCTTAGCATTTATGTGGTCACTGGAGTAACACTTTTAATTTCCTTCAAGAACTTTTCCTTTGCATTTACAACTTGGCTAACTCTTTGGTACGTGAGGCCTAACTTTCAGCCTATCCCAGCTTTCAACATGCCTTTCTCACTAAACTTAATCATTTCTAGTTTTTGGTTTAAAGTGAGCCATGTGCAAGTCTTTCTTTCTTGTGAATACTAAGAGGCCATTTTAGGTTACTAACTGGTCTAATTTCAAAACCATCGAGTCTCAGGAAATAGGACTAGAGGAAAGGGAGAGGGCTTGGTGAATGAGAGTCTCAATACACACATTCATTAAGTTTTACCACCTTATATGGGTGTGGTGTGTGGAACACCAAAATAATTACAGTAGTAATATCAAAGATCACTGATCACAGACCACCATAACAGATGTAATAATAATGAAAAATTTGAAATATTGTGAGAATCACCAAAATGAGACACAGAAATGTGAAGGAAGCAAACGCCATTGGAAAAATTACACCAATAGGCTTAATCATACAGGGTTGCTACAAACTGTCAACTTGTAAAAAATGTGATACCTGAGAATTGCAATTAAGCGAAGCACAATAAAATGAGTATGCCTGTATTACATTTATTAATCCTTGAACATGTATTTATTGAGCACCTCTTAGGTCTATGACACTGGACCAGGATGTATGAGGGAATGCCTATCATGTTTTCTGTTGATATACCTGGTTTGCTAACACATTTACCATGATAACTAATACCTGTGCAAATAAACAAACAAACAACAACAAAAGAAAACCAAAACAAAACAAAAACAAAAGACACAGTAATTGTGTCTCTCTCTTATCTACTTTCAATTGTTTGTTTAGATGTATTGAATAAACACAGTATGGAGATCTTCTAACAGTTATTGTGTGGGTTGAGAAAAATTAAGAGCACATAATATATGTCCTCAATTTATTTAATTTTAACACATTAGCTTTTTATTTTCTAATTTTTTTAAAGCCCTGAGGTACATTTTATTTTGTAATTCAAAATCACGGGGCTTTCCTGGACATCTTAAACAATAGTAAATATGCAACAATAAACAGTGAAGCTGTTTATTTAATCCTGTTAGAATACTCAGACTGTAACCTGGATTAAAAATTGAGCATTTCAATCCAAAGTGTATCTGGATGTTGTATTTATATGTTTTAATACCCAGAACTAACCTGTTTTCTTAACAGCACATGACAGATTCGTTAATAATGCAGCTACAGGCTACTTCATAATGGATTCAATGCCAATTTTAAACATTAAGTACAGCCTTTAGGCTGGAGATATTCTCTAGTATAGTTTGTAATACTGCTACTAATATGAACACTATTGCCAAAATTAAGGGTTGGAAGTCAAAACTAGAATGCTAATATGAAACATCATTATAAAGCCATTTTAAAGTACTATATTTTTATGAAACATTATTTATTGTATACCTTCATTGTCATAAAATATTTTAATTTTTTTTTGAATTTTGAAAATAGCTACTCAAAATAGTTATGTAAGACTGATAAAACTGATACCACGTTTGTAGAAAACATTGATATTTTATGAGAGATATTTCTTAAACTACCAGAGAATTTTTATTTTCTGGAAATGTTATTATTTGAAATTATTTGTGACACAAAGTTTTTTTTAAAAAAAACTTTCCAGGTTATACTTAGAAATATTAATCTGTAAGTTTACTGAAGGAACAAGAAGAAAGCATGGTTCTGTATGAGCATAGGCAAAAGGCAAATATAATTTTATGTCTTCTATCACTTATCAGACTGTAGTCAATATGAACTGAGTTTGTTTTTATTAACTTTTAATCTCATCCCATGACCACACTCAATTGCATTTCTGACAGCATCTTATAAATGAAGCTACTTTAATAAATATTATATGAATGAATGTTTGCATGCATCAATGAAGATTAAAAATGTAACAGATTTATAATTTGTAACTAAGAAAACCAATTTTGAATTTAGAATTCATTAATTATATCGTATGTTTTTTAATTTTTTACATTTCATTTTATTTTATTTTTAACTTGGTAGGTACTTAGTAGTTGTATATATTTATGGGTACATGAGATATTTTGATATAGGCAAGTAAATGGGGTATCCATCACATCAGCATTTATCATATTTTTTGTGTTATAAAAATTCTAATATTTTAGTTATTTTAAAATGCACACACTAAATTAATGATAACTGTAATCAGCCTGTTGTTCTATCAAGTACTAGATCTTGTTTATTCTATCTAACCTATTCTATAATATTTAAATATACCATTTTAGATTAATTGAATATTTGTTCTATTTTCAAAATAGATGTCTAGTTACAGCTATCAGAAATATTAATCATCAGTACATTTCTTTGCCATTTTGAGTATGTGTGCCTATTGTAATTTAGGAAGAAATATCAGAAGATAAGTTTCAATTGTTTGCTACTGAATAAAAAACTATACTTTTTCTTTTTATTTTTTTTCCTTTCTTTCTACATTCTTTTTTTTTTTTTTTCTAAAGAAGGAACATCAGAAGTCACAGAATCAGGTAAATATTTACTTTTTCAGAGGAGATAAGATACAGTTGTGGAAACAGTATGTAAATTTAAGTTTCTAGATGTATAACATTTAGAAAATCCCTTAGCTGCTCAAATTCCAGATATTCTGTTCTACAGAACAGGCATAATGACTTCCCAAAAGGCTTGTTATAAGGAGTAAATGATGCAATGTGTCCATTCTTACCGCATACAAACTTATAAGTCACCCATTAAATATTGTTTTTCTTCTCACTTTTGTCTAAAAAGTGTAGCAAGAAAATTATTATTTACCAAGACTGCTTTGAAAACTGGATCCACATTTTGCTTAGAAATATTATGTTACATTTTTATTGCTTTAATTCATTAGTTTACTTATGAATCCATCATGCCAGGCAAATTCTTATTTCCTAAAGGTAAAAATGTAACATGTAGTTTTTTTTCCTATTGTTTCTAGTTTAAACTTGTTAACAAAGGCATGGCTTATCCTAGCTTGTCTTCAAAGCATAAAAGAAAAGGGGAGGAAGTGGGTAGCAGGGTCATGCCTGTAAGTAAACCAGGCTACTCAGGAGGGTGAGGAGGGAGGATCCCTTGAGACCAGGAATTTGAGGGCATATAGAAAGACCCTATCTCAAAAAAAGAAGATAAATAGGAGGAGGAAAAAAAGAAGTAGGAGGAGGAAGAGGAGGAGGAAAAAAAGAAGTAGGAGGAGGAAAAGAAGAAGGAAGAGGAGTAAAAGACTTAGAGGAGGAAGAGGAGGCCAAAGAGGAGGAGGAGGAGAAATTTTGACCCTATAGGTGACTACATAAACAGAATGACCAAGCATAACAAAAATGAAATGAGAGAGCCCTGACTCCCTCCACTCATAAGATTAAGTCTCATCTCCAACTGTTTACTCCAAGAATGAGTAAGAAAGTCATGTTTTTTAAAATGATGGTTTCTTGTTGTTTTTCTTTCCCCTAGGAAAGAAGAAAACTGAAATATCTGAAAAAGAAAGTAAAGGTAAAAATGACATTTTAAGACATATACATCAAATTAGCCACAAAAACAGAGGAACAAAAAACAAATTTATACAAATTATATGATTTAAAAACAGTTGATGAAAATGAAGACACTGATTTTATAGCACATATCATAATTATAGTACATTACAGTTCATCATGCAAAACATATAGTTATTGCATTTTTATTAAATATCTAAAAGGATCAGGAATTTAGAACTGAAAGCAGACTCTACCTGTTACTACTAAATTAAAACTACAGACTTCTTTTCATATTACTACTGAACTGTGAATATTGCCTACATAAAATTCAATTCCTCACCTTAAGAAGACTTGTTAATAAATATATTACTCTGATACAGAGAAAGTGGGAAAGATCTAAAATCAACACCCTAACATCACAATGAAAAGAACTACAGAAGCAAGAACAAACAAATTCGAAAGCTAGCAGAAGACAAGAAATAACTAAGATCAGAGCAGAACTGAAGGAGTGAGAGACACAAAAAAACCCTTAAAAAAATCAGTGAATCCAAGAGCTGTTTTTTTGAAAAGATTAACAAAATAGATAAACCATTAGTCAGACTAATAAAGAAGAAAAGAGAGAAGAATCAAATAGACACAATAAAAAATAACAAAGGGGATATCACCACTGATTCCACAGAAATACAAACTACCATCAGAGAATACTATAAACACCTCTATGTAAATAAACTAGAAAATCTAGAAGAAATGGATAAATTTCTGGATACACACACCCTCCCAAGACTGAACCAGAAGAAGTTGAATCCCTGACTAGACCAATAACAAGTTCTGGAATTGAGGCAGTAATTAATAGCCTGCCAACCAAAACAAAAGCCCAGGACCAGACGGATTCACAGACGAATTCTACCAGAGGTACAAAGAGGAGCTGGTACCATTCCTTCTAAAATGACTCCAAACAATACAAAAAGAGGGAATCCTCCCTAACTCATTTTGTGAGGCCAGCGTCAACCTTACACCAAAACCTGGCAGAGACATAACAAAAAAAAGAAAATTTCAGGCCAATATTCCTGATGAATATCGATGCGAAAATCCTCAATAAAACACTGGCAATCCGAATCCAGCAGCACATTAAAAAGCTTATCCACCACAATCAAGTCAGCTTCATCCCTGGGATGCAAGGCTGGTTCAACCTACACATATCAATAAATGTAATCCATCACATAAACAGAACCAATGACAAAAAACACATGATTATTTCAATAGATAAAGAAAAGGCCTTTGACAAAATTCAACACCTCTTCATGCTAAAAACACTCAATAAACTAGGTATTGATGGAAATTTTCTCAAAATAAGAAGAGCTTTTTATGATAAACCCACAGTCAATAGCATACTGAAAGTGCAAAAGCTGGAAGCATTCCCTTTGAAAGCCGACAAAAGACAAGGATGCCCTCTTTCACCACTCCTATTCAACATAGTATTGGAAGTTCTGGCCAGAGCAATCAGGCAAGAGAAATAAATAAAGGGTACTGAAATAGGAAGAGAGGAAGTCAAATTGTTACTGTTTGCAGATGACATGATTGTATATTTAGAAAACCCCATCGTCACAGCCCCAAAACTCCTTGAGCTGGTAAGTAACTTCAGCAAAGTCTCAAGATACAAAATCAATGTGCAAAAATCACAAGCGATCCTATACACCAATAATAGACAAGCAAAGAGCCAAATCATGAGTGAACTCCCATTCACAATTGCTTCAAAGATAATAAAATACCTAGGAATACAACTTACAAGGGATGTGAAGGACCTCTTCAATGAAAACTACAAACCACTGCTCAAGGAAATAAAAGAGGACACAAACAAATGGAAAACCTTCCATGCTCATGGACAGGAAGAATCAATATTGTGAAGATGGCCATACTGCCTAAAGTAATTTATAAATTCAATGCTATTTCCATAAAGCTACTAATTCACAGAATTAGAAAAAACTACTTTAAATTTCATATGGAACCAAAAAGGAGTCCTTATAGCCAAGACAATCCTAAGCAAACAGAACAAAGCTGGAGGCATCACACTACCTGACTCCAAACTATACTACAAAGCTACAGTAACCAAAACAGCATGGTACTGGTACCAAAACAGAAATATAGACCAAAGGAACAGAATAGAGGCCTCAGAAATAACACCACACATCTACAACCATCTGATCTTTGACAAACCTGACAAAAACAAGCAATGGGGAAAGTGAGGATTCACTATTTAATAAATGGTGTTGGGAAAATTGGCTTGCCATATGCAGAAAACAGAAACTGGACACCTTCCTTATGCCTTATACAAAAATTAACTCAAGATGGATTAAAGATTTAAACATGCCGGGCGTGGTTGCTCATGCCTGAAATCCCAGCACTTTGGGAGGCTGATGTGGGCGGATCACGAGGTCAAGAGATCGAGACCACCCTGGCCAACATGGTGAAACTCTGTCTCTACTAAAAATACAAAAATTAGCCTGGCATGGTGGCACACACCAGTGGTCCAGCTACTCAGGAGGCTGAGGCAGGAGAATCACTTGAACCTGAGAGGCAGAGGTTGCAGTGAGCCAAGATCATGCCACTGCACTCTAGCTTGGTGCCAGAGTGAGACTCTGTCTAAAAAAAAAAAAAGAAAGAAAAGAAAAGAAAAAGATTTAAATGTGAGACCTAAAACCATAAAAACCCTAGAAGAAAACCTAGGGAATACCATTCAGGACATAGACATGGACAAAGACTTCATGACTAAAACAGCTAAAGCATTTGCAGCAAAAGCCAAGATTGACAAATGGGATCTAATTAAAGTAAAGAGCTTCTGCACAGCAAAAGGAACTATCATCAGAGTGAACAGGCAACCTACAGAATGAGAGAAAATTTTTGTAATCTATTTATATGACAAAGGGATAATATCCAGAATCTAATAGGAACTTAAACAAACTTACAAGAAAAAAAAAACACACAACCCCATCAAAAAGTGGTTGAAGGATATGAACAGACACTTCTCAAAAGAAGGCAAACATATTTTAAAAAGCTCATCATCACCAGTCACTAGAGAAATGCAAATCAAAACCACTGAGATACCATCTCACACCAGTTAGAATGACAAT
Organism: Homo sapiens; assembly: GCF_000001405.40. Taxonomy (NCBI): domain Eukaryota; kingdom Metazoa; phylum Chordata; class Mammalia; order Primates; family Hominidae; genus Homo; species Homo sapiens. The sequence goes on along the minus strand of NC_000006.12, from coordinate 123,256,514 downwards.
CATTAAAAAGTCAGGAAACAACAGATGCTGGAGATGATGTGGAGATATAGGAATGCTTTTACAATGTTGGTGGGAATTAGTTCAACTGTTGCAGAAGACAGTGTGGCGATTCCTCAAGGATCTAGAACCAGAAATAGCATGTGACTGAGACTTGGAACCAACCCACATGCCCATCAATGATAGACTGCATAAAGAAAATGTGGCACATATACACCATGGAATACTATGAAGCCGTAAAAATGAATGAGTTCATGTCCTTTGCAGGGACATGGATGAAGCCGGAAACCATCGTCTCAGCAAACTAACACCGGAACAGAAAACCACACACTGCATTTTCTCACTCAAACGTGGGAGTTGAGCAATGAGAACACATGGGCACAGGGATGGGAACATCACACATTGGGGCCTCTCTGAGGGTGGGGGTTAAGGGGAGGGATAGCATTAGGAAAAATACCTAATGTAGATGATGGGTTGACGGGTGCAGCAAACCACCATGACACATGTATACCTATGTAACAAACCTGCATGTTCTGCACATGTATCCCAGAACTTAAAGTATAATTAAAAATAAATAAAAAAATAAATTACCCTGTTACTGTTTCTTCTATACAGAAAAAGCAGACATGAAGCATCTTAGAGAAGAAAAAGGTAATTTTTTAAAAGAATAAAAAATAGAATGCAAAGCCCTGAAGCTAAAATATTTTAAGTCAAAATGTATTTATATCATATGAAAAAAAACTTTTCTAAATGTATGTGATGAGTGTTAGCCTGAGTAAAAGAAGAAATATGGTAAGTAAAAAACACAATAAAAATGATTGTGTAGTAACGGCAGTGTCAAAGAAGCAATGGATGGTAAGCCAACCCATGCAAATAAGCATCAGTTTGTTCTGCCATTGATGAGCAAAGTATAAACTGAATCAAAATGCTGCCGTTTTTCTTAACATTGGGTTTATTTATTTGGCAAACTACACCATATAAGATGACAATTACTGATTTGAGTATAATTATCATAAAGCTTACAAAGGTCTTAATTATCAAATAGTTTATTGGAGCAGGAGGAAAGCATTCTTAGACATATCAGAATTATTGTCAATAACAAAATAACTCTTTTTTGTTTATCTCCAAATCCAGTTAATCAGAATGACCCATTTTTCATACATTCTAGTTAATTTTGTTCCTACATTCATGTTATACCTCTGTTTATAAAACAATGTCTAGTGCTAACATTTATTTTTGTTAGGTACCAGTTGGATAGAAAAATTTTTGAAAACCAACTTGAGAAAATATTTATAACACTTAAATTATCCTCATTCGTTGATGTGAGACAAAATTTTGATGGAAATTTACTTTAAAAATTTATATTTTAATTTACATTTTCCTTATTAACAGTCTCAACAAGAAAAGAAAGTCTTCAATTACACAATGTGACAAAAGGTAATCTTGAATTACGTAACTACTATGTTTGTATGAAAACATATGAATTATGTTGTTGCTTAATATTAATATTAAATTATTTTGGAACAAAGAAATCTAGAAGATGCAAACTTCTCTTAATAGCAGAGGAAGTGGACAGGTAGAAAATCTAGCAGAAAGCTTATATTTCAATAGAAAATAAGAAAACATGAAGAAATCAGAACTATTAGCAACATTAACATGAACAAATATTCTGTTACACATCAGAAGAAAAATTATCAATTACAAAGACTTTTTTAGCATGAATAATGTCAAAAGTAATATGGTAGTAAAAATAAATATTACTGGGATTTATTTTTATCTATCACTAAATAACATATAGTTAAGATCATGAATATATTTTTTATTGCTTATAAATTAGACCTTTAAATTAATTCAACCTAGACACAAAATAGGCAAATGCCAGCATGCACAATGCAGACATTTTTTTCTTAAAAAGAGAATGATCTATTTTGCTGATATTATCATAAAACTGTAAATAACGTTTATACTAAATTATGTAGCCTTGGCAACATAATTTTAGGGAAATTCAATTACTTTAAAAAAGTGCTTTAAATTCGAAGGTGCTAGGTAAACATATCATAACTAAGACAACTATTTTCATTCATAGCAAATACATAAATCTCTAGTAGGGAGAGAAAAAGCTTTGTTTTTCACTGACTCCCTTTTACTGCTCACTGAAATGTGTATCCCTGAAATGACTAGACATATCTAGACATACCTTTCACACGTAAAATTATTAATGTATTCATAATTATCACTAATATTAAGAGGTAAAACTTTCAATTGAAGGGCAATTACATTTGTAGAATAATATAGGGGCACAATTTTTATATTGAAACATTCTTTTAAATATTGTTTAATATCCTTTGAGATAATCAGCCAGAAGGATGAGAAAAAAATAAATTAATTAGAAAATGTATGGTTATACCTTTTCCTATTGTTTACTTGATTCTTAGTAAGGCCCAATTATCATGCCCAGTTTAAAGATGAAATAAGTGCAATAAGAGAAAATCTAACATCTCAAGAGTATTTATATGGTACAGACAAGATTTGGCTCCAAGTTTGTATGTTTTCAAACACTATAATGGTTAAGGCCATCTATTCGTACTTCAGTATTCTATTACGCTGCTGCAAATACAAGAGAAAGTTTTCTGCCAATCACAGCAGCCCAAGGATAGAGTATATCCCAATTTGCCCCCAAGGGAGTGATCTACTAGAGAGATGATTTGAGGAAACCTCTGTAACTCAGCTGTACAAGAGATTCAGACTTCTGATTCAGACTTCTCACTCTGTTCTGTGAATCTATCGTTTTAAAGTCTTCATCTTGGGAAAACAGTGGAGAAAAATGATTATGTACGAAAGCACAAGTCCAACTCAGAGATAATTGAGAGCAGGCATATTCTTATTCATTCCTTCATTTATATCAGTGAAAGTCTATTTTTCCCCTAAATTTCTGTCTTCCTAACCAATGCTAGTATTTTTAAAGAAAAAAATAATAACATGTTAGTCTTAGTGAAAGAGTTTTCCAAATTATTTATTTCATAATTTTATGCATGAAGCATAGTACTCTAACAATACTGAAAACATGTATCCAAGCTGAAAATGTTTTTTAATAGGAATAACCTAATTTTTATAAAATTTTAATCTTTAGGTTTATGTTAGAAACTCTACAAATCTCAAAATAAACCATGTAATACAGGTAGCTTAAAAATCATATTTTCTAGTCTGGCTCTTTAAATGAGACTAATGTTAGAATGGAACTGTTACTAGTCTTTTTCAAGAAATTAGAATGTCTGCTCTAGTGTTTGGGACAATAATTTCACCTTAGTTATTTTGTCCTAAATACAGCTTAATAAGAAAGCACATTTCTTTGAAGAATAATAACCTCTCATTAGAATAAATAAATTATTATGAAAAAGTAAACTTACTTTGCATGTTGTTTTTTAAGATGTATTTTATAGTCTGGTAATTATTTATTTTATCTATCTTTGAAAGAAAAATAATTCTAAATGATATATTTTATAAAGTCTTGGAATTTTAAAGAAAATATTTAGCTGTTACATAATGCAAAGTAATTTTATTCAAGCTAAGTATAATAATAGTTGAGCCAAAACTCTTAATTTAACAAAGATCTTGATTTTAGTAAGAGTATTTTAAAAGCATAAATATTTTGTGACACTTTGATGAATAGCTTTTTTGATAGCTGACATATTTTCTTAGATAAAATAGATTAACCAAGATATTCAAAGAATCAGCCAGGCATAGTAACTCACACCTGTAATACCAGCTACTCGGGAGGCAGAGGAGGGAGGATTGCTTGAGCACAGGAATTTGAGGCTGCAGTGAGCTGTGGCTGTGATTGTACCACTTCATGTCATCTTGGGCAACTGAGACCCCATCTCTAAATAAAAATTTTAAAAAATTAAAAAT